>NC_000002.12:52311564-52614594 GCF_000001405.40 Homo sapiens | reverse complement strand
CACTCTGTTACTTGCCACCAGCGGGCAAAACAGTTCTTATGTGCTTGGAGTGAAGAGTAAACATTTGACCAAAGGATTTGAAGGTTGGGGGAATTCTTTCTTTCTATAAAAATTATAGCACTGATCCAAACAAATCAATCGCTAAGGTCAGGTTTTTAGATGTGTATATTGCCTCATGAATTCAACACCTTTTTGACTCTATACCAAGGTCCAGAAGTCAGACCTTTAACTACTGCCTGGAATGGTAGAAAGGGACAATGTAAGTAGAAAAGCTGGCCATCTCATGACACAACTGAAAGGTTCTTGTATCAGTTCAAACCCCGAGAGCGTGCCAATGGACAACACGAGGCAGTGTGGCGCAACGTGCTGTTTTAATGAGCGCCTGGGTGCAGGCGGGCTGAGGCCTAAAATGGCGTTAGGTCCAAATGAGGACAGGGCAGGGCTAAGTGTCCCAGTCTGACATGACTGCTACCTAGTACCTGGATGGCCTCTTTCTCGATCTTCAGGGGTACATGTCTTCCAGCCAGGGTAGGTGCCTTCTGGCCAGGGTAGGTGTCTTCTGGGCGGCTCTCTTCCTGCTTCTGCTGTCTTGCTTACGCATGGTGCTGGCACAAGTGGCCTTGCACCTTGGGACTGGGCCTGAGGAGGGAGGAGTTACTCATCCCTTCAAGCTTTCAGGCCCCGGGGAGAATCTTTCAACAACTATAAACCAGTACCTATCTTTACTGTTTAATATATTGTTCCTTTTTTATTAGTATATTTTCAACTGGAAGTAATGAAGTTCCTCCTATTTTAGTAACAGGTGTTTAAGACAGTTACTTTTGATTTTGATAGCTCATAAGAGGCAGAATCTTGAAAGAAGGGATATGGTTAGTGACTTATACTGGAATGCACTTTCTTAGTTTTCTCCTGATATTTAGTCCCTTATTGTATTATAGAAAGGTCTGCTATTTTATGGCAGGTTTGTCTAGGTAAAACAGGGTTCTGGCTCTGACATACACTTCTGCCCATGGACTGAGGAGAAAATCTCTTAGAAAATCAATCTGAAGGTAAAAAAGAAAGATGAATCCTTTCCCCAAATAGTATGTTGGGACTCCTAAGAATGAGAAGAAGCCACAAAGCCCCAAAGAAAGAGAAATGTAAATTTTTAGGTTTTTCAGAAAACTCTAGGAGAGTAAAGATTATTCATTTCTACTGCACAACAAAGAGGGCAGGCCTTTTCTACTTAACAGATTGTGTTTTGCCTTTGAGGATTAAATTTTATCTCCCCCATCCCCTACTATTGGGGTGCTAAACTGTCCTCACCAACTAGGTGGCGGTAAGATCTTTTAGCTCAGTCCTTGACCTCTGCCTGCTTTTCCTCCTATGGAAATTACCGGCTCTCACCCACGCTGATTCCGTGTGCACAGTCAACAGCCTCTAAAGCTGATTTGACATTTCAGCCCATTTCCTTGTCCTGATTTCTATCTATAGTTGTATCAAGGGAACAGTATGAGGGGAAGTAGAGTAAACTCCCTTAAACCTAATCTAAATTCCTAACAGTTTAGATGCTATGAATAAGTCTATGATCTCAAGTGAAAGAAGATAGGGCTGAATCTCCCTAAATTCACATTAGGGGAAAAATTTTTAATATTATGTAGCATTTCTATGTCTAAACTCCATTTATGATTTATCAAGATTATTAATAATCACTCAAATGTTTCCTGAATTATTAAATTGATGACATGCTTCAAATTTCCTTTACAAAAATTGGGACAAGGTTTTGATGTAGAAGTCAAATTCATAAAGTAAATATATTATTTAGCCACCACCATCCATTTTATTGAAGATGAGAACTACATAGTAGCAACTTGCATTGTAGCAGGGCGAGCCACAGACAAGAACCCCTCAGACACTGAGTTGTAGAAGGAAAGGGTTTTATTCAGCTGGGAGCATCCACGGACTCACATTTCCAAAAAACCGAGCTCCCCGAGTGAGTGAGCAATTCCTGTCCCTTTTAAGGGCTTACAACTCTAAGGGGGTCCATGTGAGAGGGTCATGAGCAATTGAGCAAGCAGGGGTACATGACTGGGGGCTGCATGCACCGGTAATCAGAATGGAACAGAACAGGAAAGGGATTTTCACGATGCTATTCCATACAATGTCTGAAATCTATAGATAACACAAGCAGTTAGGTCAGGAGATGATTTTTAACTAACAGGCCCAGGGCGCGGTGCTGGGCTATCTGCCTGTAGATTCCATTTCTGCCTTTTAATTTTTACTTCTTCTTTCTTTGGAGGCAGAAATTGGGCATAAGACAATATGAGGGGTGGTCTCCTCCCTTAGCATATCAGTCTCTTAGATGAAAGAATTGAGTATTTCCACCTTAAGAGTCTTCAAATACTGAAACTGTTTTTCACACCCAGCAGTTATTCAGAATGCATTTTTCACATAACTGACAATCATATTACTGCTGCATGAACAAATTCAAATGCTAGAATGTCAGGAGAAAGCAGGTGAGACCACGTATACTCAGGCAAATCTGAGGTTTTTATTTCCAGAGAACTGTACCTCTTCCTCTCCTGAAAACAGTCCACAAAGTTGTTTGGCTAATGCTCATAATGTCACAGCTGCCCTGCCAAGTCATCCATCTCTCTTCTTCTATGAAACTATAGAGACAGTCCTCGTTAGTGCCTTTTTGTCCTATGACCCAGTCCCATTGTGGCTCAGAATGAGAAAGTTAAAAGGGTAAAAACAATTTCTGGGGCTAGCTGAACAACTGATTCTGTGGGGATTCACCCTTGACCTTTACAAAGGCAATATTTCCATAAATAAATTGGGGCTTTGTTTTCTCCCTTGAAGACAGCTAATCCAAACTTTAAAGACATTTGAATTCTAGAATCACTTTACTGTTCTTTTGCTATAATGATTTAGATTAAATATCAATGACTGTGGTTTTAGAGTATAAAATAATGGTTGTCAAATATGTTGTCATTATGAATAAGATACATAAAACTATAAGAATTGTTATTTTGAAATTAATGGATTTGAACTTAGAATAGATTATGCCTTTCAAAAATTATGATTACTTAATTATGACTCTTATATTTTCCTTAAAGAGCAAAGTACTATACTGAAAGTGTAGGTTTATTTTTTTTTCTTTTGTGGTGGTGAGAGGAGTAACTATTTTAAAAATAATTATTATTTTCAATGAAATTTTTATTTGGGGTTTTCTGGTAATCATGGCACATTCTCTCATAGTCTATTTATATTTTATTATTTTCCTATATGTTCATCATGTATGTTAATAAATAATGGGTGGTTCTTAGAAAAATACATATTTTTATTTTTTTGTTTTGGTTAGAAACTTTTCTAGCTGATTAATTCTCACCATGTCATTTAGGTTTTCTGGTGGGTCCTCTATTCCTGTAATGGCTTGCCAGGTATATGGTATAATCTTTGACTATGAACCAAAGAGAAAAAGTAAGAAGGAAGTAAATAGACGTTGATTGGCTCCAGCTCTGTGGGAGGCAGTGGGATGGTAACTTTGACGACCCACCACCACCACCACCAAGATGATTGAGCACTGACTATGTGCATCACACTCAGTTCTTTAGATGCATTACTTCATTTAATTCTTACAACTACTCTTTGAAATAGGAATGAAAATTACCATTTTGGAGGTGAGAAACTTAAAGAGTGGACAGATTATTAAGGGGCAGAACTGCAATTTGAACAGAATCTGTATTTCCCCCAATGTTTTTGCAGAATAGAGTCAAATGAGATTAATACTAAAACAGTAATAAATGTACACACGAAACATTTGTTGAATGAATGAATGAAATTATGAGAACCCACTTTTATTAAAGTTAAACTAATAGTTATGCACTATTATTTTTTAGGACTGTACTGATCATTGTAATGTATGATAACTCATTTAAATCTCACAGTACCTTGTGATATTGGTTAAATTATTCTCATTTCACCTATAAATTGTCTAAGACACAGAAAAAGTCAAGCTAATTTATTCTCACTGTATCCTGAAATATTGGTTAAAAAATTGTTCTCATTTCACCTGTAAAATCTCTGAGATACAGAAAAAGTCTGTGTCTTTTTTATCAAGATCAAATAGTAGGTAAATTAAGAAACAGACATCTTCAGTCAATTTCTCTCATCCTATTGTCACCCCTCCTTTCAATCTACCACAGCTAATCATCCCCAGCACACAAATATATATACTTTTCCTGAGAAGTTTGTGTCTTTGCACTTCTTAAAAAATGAATTAATTTTGTTGTACAACTTGGAAGTAGTTTTTTAGTGTATCTGATACAACTTCTCATATATTAATTCATTTTGAGATCTGGATATTGAAGGAATTTTGTCCCACAGATATTCACCAATGCTTCCCTCATTTTAAAAATCCAATAGAAAATAATGTATCACTTAATCATCAATTGAAACAGACTTTGTTTTAAAAAATTATAAATAGGAAACAAGCTACATTGTCCTCTCCTTAGATTTCTTTCCCTAAGTTACTCTATTGTCTGATACATTTAAGCCCTCTAGGTTATTATATAGTAAAAGATGATTTCTTTTTGTCTTGTACTTCGCTTGTGCAAAATATTTAAAAGATTGTTAATACTCAATGCTGATGACGGTGTGAGAAAATGAGCACTGTTTATACTGTATATGGAGATGTAAATTGGTGCTGTCCTTTTGCAAGGCGATTTGAAAAATAAGTGCCAAAATTTAATATAGTCATGCTATCCTACTTACCAACCTGGGCCTAAAATCAATCCTACTGAAATAATGGTGTGTATGTATAAGGATATTTATCACAGTGTTGTTTATAGTGGTGACTTTAAAACAACCTAAATATCTTTAAAAAACAGAGATTTGTTTGCATACATTATAGTGCACATACACAATATTTTATTTTAATGACATAATCTATATTTACAGTGAAAGAAGTTCATGATACAGTATTAAATGCAGTAAAAATAAATGACAAAAAAGTGCATGCTTATTCATCCTTTAGGCATATGTAACTATAGGAAAAACCAGTAAAAAATGTTCACCAAAATTGTTCATATTTGTCAGCTCTGAGTAGTGGCATAAGACTTATCTTCATTTTAATTCTTATACTTTTTTGTATAATGTTTTCGTGATGAGAATATACAGGTCCACATTCCCTTTTTCAAAACCAATCTAACCAAATATGTTTTGGAATTGAGAAATTGTTAAATTTTAGGATGATTTTCTGATATGTACATTTTATGTTAGGTTACACCTTCAGTGGGGTCTGAGACAATCTTCTGTAAACAAGCATATTGATATTTTGCAGCAAAATGTGTTAATATACACAATAAGTGATGTTAATACAGCTTTATGGTAACTCAGTTCAGGTCAGGTTTTTTCACAATGAGTTGTGGCAAAATCTTTATTTTCAAAGGTCGATTGATCACTTTTTGGGATTTGAGATAAGAAATTGTGTACCTGGCCGGGCGCGGTGGCTCACACTTGTAATCCCAGCACTTTGGGAGGCAGAGGCGGGCGGATCACGAGGTCAGGAAATCGAGACCATCCTGGCTAACACGGTGAAACCCTGTCTCTACTAAAAATAGAAAAAAAAAATTAGCCAGGTGTAGTGGCGGGCGCCTGTAGTCCCAGCTACTCGGGAGGCTGAGGCAGGAGAATGGCGTGAACCCGGGAGGCGGAGCTTGCAGTGATCCGAGATCGCGCCACTGCACTCCAGCCTGGGTGACAGAGCGAGACTCCGTCTCAAAAAAAAAAAAAAAAAAAAAAGAAATTGTATGCCTGTATCGATTTTATAATCAGAAAATAATGTACTGCAAAAAATTTATTTAGAAAAAGAAGTGGGGCCGGGTGTGGTGGCTCACACCTGTAATCCCAGTGCTTTGGGAGGCCTAGGCCGGCAGATCACCTGAGGTCAGGAGTACGACACCAGCCTGGCCAACGTGGTGAAACCCCATTTGTACTAAAAATACAAAAATTAGCTGGGCGTGGTGGCGGGCGCCTGTAATCCCAGCTACTTAGGAGGCTGAGGCAGGAGAATCGCTTGAACCTCAGAGGCGGAGGTTGCAGTGAGCCGAGGTCACGCCATTGCACTCCAGCCTGGGCAACAGGAGTGAAATTCTGTCTTCAAAAAAAATAAGAAAGAAAAGGAAAAGAAGTGGAATGCGTCATTCTAAGTCTCAACCATGAAAGTGCCTCCTATGCTAATGTTGGCATGTCAGTTGATAGGCAGGTGGTTATGTGAAAATGAATTCCTCTCAGGAGACTCCTTTTTTCTTTTTGTGTATCTGCATGATGCAAAAGTGATATGAAAGCTTTTAGTTTCTAGTGAAATGCTGTTTAGAGCAAGTTAAATCAGTTCATGACAACTGTCTTATATTGTATAAAATGGAAGGACAAAGAGTGTTAATTAAGTATGGACTATTAAAAAGAAGACCGTATGAGTGATTTTAGAAAACTGTCTTCTGCAGCTGACATGTCAACAACTTGTTTCTTGGGAAGACAGTAGTTTTGCAGACTATTCTGTAGTCTAATGGCATACTTAGCTAGGTGGGGGGTTAATAAGCAACATCTGACAGTGGCAAAGAATTCTGCCGCATATCCTACCGCTCATTTCAAGATTGCTAAGCATCTGTTTCTAAATGGGATCATTTTGATTATCTACTTTTCAAAACAGGCCCAGGTCTATAAACAGAAATCACTTTTTCACACTTAGGGATATAGGTTAGACAGAGTTTTGGAATGATTTTTATCTCTCTACCCTCATGTTCCATGATAAACCTGAAGTGGTTACTTTAGCTAAAATGCCCAAATCCCGTGGAACAAAGATTGAATAAAACGTTTCTCTTTGTTTTGTTGTGTCACTACTTTATGTTAAAACATTTCTTTACACAAACTTGGATGTTTTTGGATTTCTTTTGAATATGTGGAAAATATAGAAAAATATGAAGGAGTATCAAGATCACCCACAATCTTTCTGCTCTGAATTTTTATGTTTATCTGTGTGTCTTTTGGTGTTTGTGTCTGTGCACACGTGCCCAACAGTTATATAAGGTGTACATAAACTACTGTAGCACATTGCATATATAAACATAATTAATTTTAACATCCCCATGAAGTCAAAATTATATCTATTTTTTAAATGATGAACATGTGAACTATTGAATCTGCTGTACATAGTTATGTATAGTATTGCACAATGTTTCTTTACATTTAAAACTATGACCTCTTCAATTTTCTATTTTATTAGTTTTT
This sequence comes from Homo sapiens, assembly GCF_000001405.40. Lineage (NCBI taxonomy): Eukaryota > Metazoa > Chordata > Mammalia > Primates > Hominidae > Homo > Homo sapiens. The sequence continues at coordinate 52,607,325 of NC_000002.12, read as the reverse complement.
GGAAAATTATTTTTATAACTGCATGATATGTCATGGTATTGACGTGCCTTAATTTAACAAGTCCACAGTCATTATATGATAAAATTATGCTCAAATTTTCACTTCTAAAAATGATCTTATATATAATAATTGTATACCAATATTTCTGTAAGTATTTATTTTCTTCTTAAAAATTCCTGGAAGTGGAATTATTGGTCAACTTATGATTAACATATTTAAGGAGGTGGAACCTAGTGTTGCAGAATATGGGTTCTAGAGATAGGCAGGCAGTACACATTTAAATCTCAGCAACTCCACCAACTAATCCATTGTATTATACCAAGTTACTTCCATTTTTCAAGTAAAATGGGGGAATATCACAGGATTCTGAATAGAATTAAAGGAGATAATACATGAAAAACATTTAGCAACAGAACATACACTGGGGAAAAGACAACCTCTTCAACACATGGTGCTGAGAAAACTGGATATGCAGAAGATATGAAGAAGAAAACCATATGCAGAAGAATAAAAACTACAGCCCTGTCTCTCCCATATACAAAAATAAAATAAAAATGGATTAAAATCTAAGACCTCAATCTATAGAATTACCAAAAGAAAATATTGGGGAAACTCTCCAGGACATTGTTCAGGGCAAATATTTCTTAAGTAATATCCTACAGGCATAGGCAGTCTAAGCAAAAATGGACAAATGGAATCACATCAAATTGAAAAGTTTCTGCATAGCAAAGGATACAACCAACAAAGTTAAGAGACAACACACAGAATGGGAGAAAATTCACGCAAACTATCCATCTGACAAGGGATTAGTAACCAGAATATAGAAGGAGCTCAAACAACTTTATAGGAAAAAAAAACAACAAATAATTTGATTAAAAATGAGTGAAAGAACTGAATAGACATTTCTCAAAAGAATACATACAAATAGCAAGCAGGTACAAGAAAAGGTGCTCAACATCACTGATCATCAGAGAAATGCAAATCAAAACTATAATGAGATACCATCTCACCCCAATTAAAATGGCTTATATGCTGGAGAGGATGTGGAGAAAAGTGAACCCTCATACAATGTTGGTGGGAATGCAAATTAGTACAGCCACTGTGGAGAACAGTTTGGAGATTCCTCAAAAAACTAAAAATAGAACAGCAATATGATACAGCAATCCCACTGCCAGATACATACTAAAAAGAAAGGAAATCAGTGTATCAAAGAGGTATCTGCAAGCTGATGTTAATTAAAACACTATTCAGAATGGCCCAGATTTAGAAGTAACCTAAGTATTCATCAACAGACAAATGGATGAAGAAAATGTAGTATACACAATGGAGTACTATTCAGCCATAAAAAATGATGAGATCCTGTAATTTGCAACAACATGAATGGAGCTGGAGGTTATTATGTTAAGTGAAAAAAGCCAGGTACAGAAAGACAGACTTTGCATGTTCTTACACTTCTGTGGGAGTTAAAAATTAAAACAATTGCTCATAGAGATAGAAAGTAGAATGATGGTTAGCAGAGGCTGGGAAGGGTAATGGTGAGAGGGAATGAGAATGGTTAATAGATACAAAACTATAGTTAAAGAGAATGAATAAGATCTAGTGTTTGACAGCACAACAGGGTGACTATAGTCAACTATAATTTATTGTACATTTTAAAACAACTAAAAGAGTATAATTGTGTTGTTTGTAATACAAAGAAAGGATAAAGGCTTGAGATGATGGATACCCCATGTATTCTGATGTGATTATTATGCATTGTATGCCTGCATCATAATATCTCATGTATCCCATAAACATATATACTTACTATGTATCCACAAAAATTAAAAATTAGAAATAAATTTATAAAACATTTACCAATAGATGAATGGATAACAAAATATGGTATCTATTCGTAGAAGAGAATATTATTCAACCATAAACAGGAATAATGTACTGATAGATACAACAACATGGTGAACCTTGAAAACATTTTGCTAACTGAAAGAAGCCAGTCACAAAAGACCACAAACTACATGATTCCATTCATATGAAAGTCCAGAATAGGGACAATCTATAGAGATAGATCATAGATCAGTGGTTGATTAAGGCTGGAGGGTGGGGATGGGGAATTCTGAGGGTTGTAGTTAAAGAGTATGGGATTTCTTCTAGAAGTGATTAAAATGTTCTAAAATTGGCTGTGGTGGTGGCTGCACATATCTCTGAATATTTTAAAAACAATTTAACCATTTAAAATGTTATACACTTAACATAAGTGAATTGTATGAAATATGAATCATATCTCTATAGAACTTTAAAAATTAGCATTGCACCTGGTCCGTGGGTAATTTTTCTCTTCTCACATTTTTAATTCTATGCATTTTTATGTAAAATCTCTTTGCTAATTGCAACATAAACTTTAAGACTTTAACATGATCAATTAGCTTAAATATTTTATAAGTGTATTAGCCATTTGTATATTCTTTGATTTTCTTCTTTATCTGTTTTTCCATCACTTTAATTGACTTTTAAAACCTCAATAAATGTTCTATTCAATTTTTCAGTTGAATTAAATTTTTAACTCATTTTACGTGACATAGATTTAAAATAATTTTCTGCACATTTGTATTTGACTACTATTTTATAGAGTTTTAAAAAATTTATAAGTTAAGTTAGTATAGTAACTTTTTTCTGTTGTTTAAAATAATTTTTCCCTTTGTTTTATTGCTTAGAGAGGTTTTTACCCACATTTAGATCAAGTAATACATACCTATTTTTTAATCTAGCTACTTCTTATTTAGAAAATATAACTCTACAATCTGATCTGGGTTGTCATTTTAATGTTGTGAGAAGGGGTTTTCATATTTACCAAGTATCATTTGACATCTTCCTCAGTAAAAATGTACTTGAAGATTGTATGGTAGGGGAAATAATTTATACCTTGGAATTTTATCCTTTTTTTTTTACATGTTGACCATCGACAATATTTTCTAAAGCTTTCTCTCTATAATGAGAATGTTGATACTTATTAATAGAAGTGAATACAAATATGAGGCCTCATTCATTGTTTTGAGTAGATCTATTTAATACCAATCTTGACTTAGAAATTAATTTTCATTAAGGTTCATTCTCTCTGACCACAGGTCCCCCTTTAATAAGTCAGCTACCATTTGAAGTGACACTCAAAAGATTAAGTAGGGTTTATATCTTTTTGAACTGCCAATGGATTCCATCTACTCTTTGATCAATATTTATATAAATGTTGCAAGCCTTACATTTTCATATTAGTATCATATGATTAAGAGCATCTTTATTAATCTAGAATTATCATACATATGCTGTTGGTATGAAGAGAAAAGAAACTATTGTTTTCAAATACTACTAGTATAATTGGAGTGGAGGCTTGACTCATTTCAGTGACCTTTAGAACGGGCTTAATGTTGATTGTTTAGATTCATTTGGCATTGTTTTTCAAATGTGTGTAAGGTAATACTATTAATCCTATTTTTTTCAGGTGAGGATTGGGATAAAGATTAAATACTTTGTCCAAAATCACATAGGTAAAAATTGGTATTCAAATTCTGTGGTTTTTACTTTTAGATCTCTTAGTGTATTTTTAAATATAAAACTTACTATCTCTCAAAAAGTCCATTGATTTATTTTATTCAATACAACAGAAAAATTACATATATATGTATTTTTTTATTTTTATTTTTGTTTTGAGACAGAGTCTTACTCTGTCACCCATTCTGGAGTGCAGTGGTGCGATCTCGGCTCACTGCAGCCTCTGTCTCCCAGGTTCAAGAGATTCTCCTGCCTCAGCCTCCTCAGTAGCTGGGATTACAAGAGCCCACCACGACACCTGGGTAATTTTTTTTGAATTTTTAGTAGAGACGGGATTTCACCATGTTGGCCAGGCTGGTCTCGAACTCCTGACCTCAAATGATCCGCCTGCCTCGGCCTCCCAAAGTGCTGGGATTACAGGCGTGAGCCACCACGCCTGGCCAATTACGTGTATTTTTACCTGTAGCTAACTTTCAAAATCAGGCTGAACAAAGACACTTGTGCATTTAAAGTATTCAGACACAACCTGCAAAACATTTGTTGTTTTCGTGTATTTTCAACCCATAATCGAATATTTTCTGAAAGGACTTTGGTAATAATTCTTTTTGAAGAAATCCTAATGAATTCTAATATTCCAATTTTCTAAAGTAAATTGGCAATGGGGTGTAGATATGTCAATTCTGGATGGAAACTTGGCTTTTTGATCATAAAAATCACTCGGACTTTACATAGCAAGTGTGTATCCTTGGAGATGGCCTAAAGGTTATGATGAAAGAAATCAACCAGGCATCTAAAAAGTAACTCTGTACTCCTTCCTATTGGTTTTCCTTTAAAGAACTTCGGGAGAAAAAAAATCTCCAAATCGTTGTATAGCACATAAAAAATGTCAGATTCTGATGTTATGCTGGAACCAAAAATCCAGATTAAAATCTTCCCAAAACAGCCATGTTAATTCCCTAAGTAACAGAGATCCAATTTCTGGAATATATGGGGCTATCCAAGCAGTCTTTTAGTTTTCTTCTCCATTCTGTCTTCATGATGATAACATCTTACTTTCTAGATCAATTTGAGTTGTTGGTAAAATTATTTTGACTTTTAATTCCAGGTGGTTTGGTATTAACTGGAGACCATTTCAAGAAAATGTAACTTTTCAATTTATAGTTTGATTTCAGTGATGTAGTTAATCACTTCTGAGTTTGTTGTTTTCCCAGTAAGTTAAAATATGTGAAAGAAATGGGCATTTACTTTGCTAACATCAACTACTTTTTTTAATATAGCTTTATTGAGATATAAGTTATATACCATAGAATTCACCCATTCTAAATGTACAATTCAGTGTTTTGTTTTGTTTTTGCACAGTTACAATAAATGAAATTGTTTATTCTTCTGCTAATTTTATGCCTTCCACTTAAAGGAACTGATTGCAACAGTGGTCATACCATTTTACATTTCCAGTATATAACGGGCCAAATTTATCCATGGCCTTGTCAACACTTCTTATTACTCTCATTTTGATTATAGTCGTTATAGAGGATGTGATTACCAGTAATTTATTTTTTTACAATAAAAAAATTTCCAAATTTTCAAAACTAAGCCATTGTTTAAAATGAAATAAATACTGTTAGAAAAGTGGTATCTCATTGTTGTTTTGAACCAATTGCTTTTGAATAATTTTTTAATTCAAATGGTTTAGATGGCTTTGGTGATGTTGAAACCAAGTCAATAGTCCTATAGATAGTTTTATTGGATAAACATAGAAATGGACAATTATGGTCTTAAAACTTGAAACATATTTGTTTTATCTGAGTTTCTTTCTTAGGAAATGACCTTCAGACTTCTCAAAAAGAGTATCAAAGAACTGAAACTCAACAGATCACTATATCCGAACAATGATGTTGAACACTTCACTCACGATGATTGCTTCCTTTCCCCTCCCTAGTTCCTGTTTTCTTACACATTGTTTGATTTCTTCTCTGCTATATAAGCCCCAAGTTTTAGTCTCTCACAGAGATGGATTTGAGACTGGCTGCAGCACTTGATTAACACTTTCTTCCTTGGCACTACTCATTGTTTCACTCATTGTCTCAGTCATTGGATTTCTGTGCAGCGAGCAGCAGGGCCTAGACTGAACCCCTTGGTGTTTTGATAACAGTGTGAAGAAGTATGAAGAATTAACTGGGGTTTAGAATGTATGGTTTTTATTATAGAATCTTATCAGGGACTAGTTTCTTCATCTAAGAGGCATCTTCCCTCTCTGATCTGGTGGTGAATTTGAGATAAAGTTAGCAATATGTTTAGTTTCCTAGGAAAAAGTCATACTATCAGTACAAAGGATGAGTTGGCTACTAAATCTTTACAGGACACTTCTTTTTTCTTTATTCCCTAACCTAGATGCTACATAAAATTATGTGCCTTCATCCTGAGATAGAGAAACTCTGTGGCTGACCTAAAGAGACTGATTGGTTCCATGGATAAATATTTTTATTTACCTTTCAAATCTGTAGCATACATATTCTTAATAGAGTTTTAAATGTATTTTAATTTTTACATATTTAATTATCAATGTCTTTAGTTTTAAATTGATTAATACCCATGAATATGCAGGAATTTGGAGCCCTAGACTTATACTATTGCTTTCTTTATAATTATGTGTAGTTTCAAGAGTATTTTTCAGGCAGTAGTTCATGTAAACGACGAGTAATTCATGGAAGAGATGTTGAAGTAATAGTTAGATATTGGAACAAGAGAGCAGGCTTTAATTATTGTTTAATATATTTTTATTGGTTTTAAAAAATATTCTAAATATCCCTAAGAAGGGCAAATTCCACCTATTAAAACAGTTGCTTTAAGATATAATAAATTAATGATATAATTTAAAAATTTGTTATATGATTTATATCATTTAGGTCTGAATCATTTTTAAGGACAAGAAGAAGTGGGTATGAAATGTTTCATGTTGTTTTATTAGTCTTACTGGAAATGTCATGACAACATATTTCAGGTAAAATTATGAAATCTGCCAATTTTGATGTAAGAAGAATTTGCTACTACAGAATCCTTTTTCTTTCTGTTCTGTAACTCCCACATACCCTGAAGAAGAAACTACCTCAATGACCTTGGCAACAGAAAGCTGTCCATGGCTATAGGTCAAGCTCGGCTTCAGCATCACCTTTCCGTGCAAACTGAGTGTAGTGAAAGAGCAGAACTTTTATAAAAGGGTCAGAACGAAGACTGAAAGCATCATCAACATGCATCAGCTACAGACCCCCCTGTGGTAATGGCTTTTAAACCAAGTTCCCACAGCTCCAGAGTTACTCTAAGACGTTTTTGAAGCTCAGTGTGAGAGGAGACAATGGGTGAAGGTCAAAGCTTCCTATTTCTGCTCAGATTGAAGCATTTCTTAAACCTGTGGAATATTTTGGGTTTCTGTGTAAGAAAAAGCTACATGGCTTATTATTATTTAAATATTCTTATGCAATATATTTCTGTTAAAAATAACTTTAAGCCCATTACAATAGCCAGAATCTTCCTTTTACATTTAATATTCCCATAGCAAAGACAATCAAAACCATGCAAATAAGAAGAGAGATATTCACTTGAACATTAAGCTATAATATATAAATGCTGGAGCTATATATAAAAAATATTGATTGTTTATAAGAGATGTGATTATTGCCAACTATATTTTAAAAATATATTTTTAAATCTCTAGTTTTAAAAAATAAGTATAATACCTTTTGCAATGTGGGAGGAATATTAGACTAAGAAGACAGAGCTTCATATTAGCAATAAAGAATAAGAAGGTTTGGATATTAATTCTGGATCTGCTGCTAATAATCCCCCACCATGATCAAATCATTAAATATCTATGATCTTCAGACTTTTCATATGAAAAAATGAAAGAAAACTAAGCTAACTAGTTCGAACAGTTTGCAAGGTGCCTTCTAAGCCTAAAATTCTAAAAATTATTATATTAGGAAAGCATTTGGATCTGTTTAGATTCAATTGCATCAAATATTTTGTTATTTATATTAGCAGCCCTTGGAATGAGAGAAATATTAACCTTCTGTAAGGCAGATATGGTGTGATCCTTTAGTTCTAGATTTTTAAACAAAACATTAATGTACATGTATGTTAATACATGAATGTATTAGATAAGTACCTGTGTTTTAATAGACTTATGGGCTCCTGTGTATTTGGCAGCACAAAAGAAATGCACCATAATATGAATTTCCCTACAAATAATTTATAATAAATTTGCATCGAAGAAACATAAATAAAACAGTAAAATTAAAAATAGTATTCTGTATTATGATATAGGTGAGAGAACACGATAGTGTATGAGGTTAATGCAATCAATAAGTTGAAAAAGGAGATATAAACATTTCCTGGTCTACTCAAGAGTGGATGCCTATTGAGCCTTAGGAGTGGATCTTGGAAAAAAAAAATGGGTGCTTTTTATGTTTGTTATCTTTATAATATATCTCAGTGAAACTCATTCAGGAATACATATGGGATATGTGTTGTTGGCCAATTCTAATGTTAACAAGTAGTGGTTCTTAAAAAAATTTTTTTCTGTAGAAATGACACTTCATTGAGAATCTCACCAAACATATGATATTTTTTTTTCCACTTCATCCAGAAGAAACAAAAGAGAAACCTCCCATCACATTCTTTGGCACTTAGAGAACTGAAGATGGTAGAGGCAGAGTTTGTGAGTCTCTGCCGGAGATAATCTGCCTTCTAACAAGAAGTTGAGAGAAGAGACTTCTCTTAGAGAAAGGAAAGCCTCGTGGAATTGGGAAAAAAACAAACCCTCAATGTTACCCTTTTCCTTAAATATTTATCTTTCTCCATTGTCTTCTTCTTTGGTTTCATTAATTTCCCCTTACTTTCTTATAAACATGGCTAGTCTTTCATAGCTTTCCAGAATGACTTAAGTCATTTCCTTAAGTAAAAATTATAATCCTTTTACATGCAGAATACCAATTTCTCCTTATTCATTGAGTTTTTTTTTTTTTTTTTTGACAAAGTTTTGCTTTGTCCCCCAGGCTGGAGTGCAATGGCACGATTTCAGCTCACTGCAACCTCCGCCTCCCAGGTTCAAGCAATTCTCCTACCTCAGCCTCCTGAGTAGCTGGGATTACAGGCGCCTGCCACCACGCCTGGCTAATTTTTGTATTTTAAGTAGAGATGGGGTTTCACCATGTTGGCCAGGCTGGTGTTGAACTCCTGACCTCAGGTGATCTCCCCGCCTAGGCCTCCCAAAGTACTGGGATTACAGGCCTGAGCCACCGCACCCAGCCTCATTGAGGTTTTTTAGCCTTATCTTTGTATAAAACTTCATTTAAAAATGCACAAGCTGAAATTAGGGAATGTCAAGAAAATTTCATGTATCATATGCATGCTGATGACCCACAGTTTTCATAATGGTGAAGGGTAAAATTCATAAAGGATCTCCAGTGGCAATGTAGGAGTTTCCTTTTGAGTAGGGTGATAAACTGACTTATGCTTCATTACACGACTGGCTTCATTATAGCAAAACTGTGCATACTGTTTCTGTCAGTTACATCCTCATTTACTTTCTCAGGCACTAATTAAGAAGTCCTTTCATTCAGGTAGGGATAAATAATAGGAATAATTACTGTCATTTATAGACATATTTAATAACCTTGGGCAATCCACCTGTCTACTTTTGGTGACAACCTTCTATTTCCAGCTTCGGAGTCAGAGGCTCAAGTTTCCCTGTGAGTAAAAACCAGCAGCATCAAGTTAGGAGAGCTGCTGCTTCCTGCTGAGCTCTGCCTTAGGAAAGCAATATTGTTGGCCCCATTCTCTGTGTTTTGGAGAGGGCTACTTATAAACTATTAGGCATACCATAGAGGAAATAACGTCTCTTACATGCATTGGTATATGAGTTGGCAAAAAATCACACCAGAAATGGAGTAAATAATGTATAATTTGTCAAGGTTTCCTCAGAAATATCACAGGCAACTAGATGGGACTCTGGGTTGCTGGTATCTCCATTTTTTGAGTTGATTTGACCATACTGTTTACACCTGGTCCTTCTTCTTCAGATTCAAGAAGAGTCTTCTTCAGATTCAAGTGGACCTATATTTTCTTCATCAGGCTAGCCTAGATTTTTTTCCCTGACTGCTGGATGATGAATTTGCTGCTGGCTATCATCCAGACTTTCATAATACTCTTTCTTGCTGCTACAGTTCAATAGGTTGATAGTGCATAAATTGGGAACATTCAGTGTGAATCAGGGCTGGGAACAGGGAGTATATAGTAAGAGTTCATGCCCCTGTGTAAGACTCTTTTCTATACTCCTGTGGCATTTTCCTTCATTATGACCATTTTTGTCCTTAAAGGCTACCACTAAACTGGAAATAATGTTCCATCAAGAAGTAAAGCTGAGTAGAAAAATGTTCTGATCGCCAAGGAATCTGACCCCACTGGGACTTGGAATCTATAGGAAAAATTAAATAAATGGTTCACTAAGACTTGTTTTAAATGACTTAGCAGATTTTTGTTAAAAATAGCAATTTCATACACAAAAATTTCCAACCATAAAGTGTATCTTTATGATTTTTCTCATGTTGACAAAAGGTGGGTGATAACGGTCTTTAAGAATGGAAACTTCTTACAAATATCTGAATGATAGCTTCGATGTAAGTACAGTGATAGCCTTGAAGTGAGAAACTCTTAAAACATGGTTGTGAATATTTGATTACACACAGATGGTAAGAAAGGACAACATTCATTAAAAGATATGCAAGGAATACTGTTGCAGTGTGAAAGAGTGGCTATTCCTTCCTTTTATGGACAAATCAGATAGATGAAGGAATCTTAGCTTACCCTCCACCTTTTATTCTAATTTGATAGAGTTCTGTCTTGATAAACATCCCTCCTGGGAAAAAAATATAGCTGCTGAGATCTGGCTTTAAATCCCAACTCTGCAATTTGCTAACTGTGGGAACTTCCTGAAAAATATATTCAATTTTTCTGAGTTTCATTTTGCTCATCTATACAATTGAGAAAAATGTGGTACTTTATTGGTTGTGGTAAGGAATGCTAGATAACCTTTATGCATGTAGTATGTGCTGGATATTTTCTAAGCATATGATATGTAATCCATTGAACTTTTACAAGAGTTCTGTGAGGTAGGAGCTAGTATAATTCTGATTTTTTCAAGTGAGGGTCAGAGAGGTTAAGTAATTGATCTCAAATTACAGAATGTATGACATATATGAGATTTGAACCCAGGTCTTCTGTTTTTAGAGTCCCCCTGTAGCACCCTTGTGTTACGATACTGAGTTTTCAGTATAGTATCCAGGATATAGTAAATGGCCCATAAATGTGAGACTTAGATGCTATCACTGGTACATCTAAAGATTATTTAGGGGGTTCATAAATAATACCCCTGTTCTCCCGCTGAGTTCAGAATCAATACAAAGTAAGTGTAAGGGTCAGGTACAGATCTAATTATTATTAATACACTGACTGGAAATGTGGTTTCAGAGCTGCAGCTAAGTGGTAACATTTTATTCCCGAATTAACTTAATTCTCCACCTGGAACTATGCACAACAAATATCTCCTCCAGGGACAGTCTCCTGTGTGTTCTGTCAATAGGCAGGCTCTGAAAAAGGAAACCCAGATGGCTCCTAGTCAACCAGCTCAGATCCTTTTTTCAAACTCTCCAATCAGATAAGACTATTATCTTTTTCTGAGGAGGACTAAGGGAGAGTGTGGGAGAAAGGCCACAAGTATCAGATGATGTTCCTCCATTGGAAAAGGAACGCCAGATTCCTCTTCCCTTGTCTTAGTTTACTTGGGCTGCTATAACAAATAACCATAGACTAAGTGATTTAAACCACAGACATTTATTTCTCACAGTTCTAGAGGCTGGCAAGTCCAAGATCAAGGTGCCAGCCTATTTTGTCCCTGATGAGAGCTCTCTTTCTGGCTTGCATAGAGCTGCCTTCTTTCTGTGTCCTCACATGGCCTTTCCTCAGTGCATAAATGAGATCTTCCTCTTCTTGTAAAGCCACTCAGTAACCCCATCGTAAGGACCTTGCCTTCATGACCTAATTTAACCCTAATTAACCCTCAAAGACCCCATCATCAAATACCACTAATGGAGGATTAAGTCTTCAACATATGGATTTGAAGATGACACAAACAATCAGTCTGTGACACACCCAAACCCATAATAGCTGTTGTTTTCACTACTCCCATTGTTGTTGTTATTGTTATTATTATTTTTCTAATAAATAGCAGACAGAGGAAGATTTAAGGGTGCCTCCTTGCTTCAAAGCCTGTGCAAAAAGCTGCAGGAAAGGAGATAACATTGGCCCTATCCTAAGCATATACCACCCTAGATTGGCCAAGATTCTGTCCCAGTTAAAGAAAAAACTGGGTTCCATAGCATGTCTGCCCTTGGTTGCTAGGAGTGAAGTGTAAGTACTCCCTTTACAAGACTACAGAAGTCAGGGGAAGTGTTACCCTACATGAAGGGAACACAGAAAGAGCAGGAGTGATCATTCTTTCTAGATGCCATCTGTAGAATTCTATCTGTTTCTTTCAGCTCAGAATATCTAACTGAATACATCGTTAGGGGGCATATAACAGAGGAATTGCTCTGTTGGTCATGTTAGCACAGGTGTCCTCTGAAGTGTCATAAGCATGAGATATCTTTTCCACAGAGTTGATTTTTATCTATTTCATTGAAAGCATTTGCATGAGAGTCTAGAGATGAATATATTCATAACTGCCACATTTTCTAAAAGAAATGGCATTTTCCATAGAAACTCCTACAGTGATCAGAGAGAGATAAGCCTGGGAAATTAGCCATGGTAGTGCTAGATGATGCCATTATAATGAGGGTATAAACCAAGAGGCCATCTGATCCCTGTATCTACAGTAGTGGAAATAATAAGCCACGTAGCATGAGAGCATTTCAGTGGTAGACTTGAACACTATATGCACTTTCAAAGCCCAATTCTGGTAGTTTTACAAACCTCTAATTTAATGCTGCACTAGCTATTGAAAGCCTTGCCCTATAGTTGTCAAAACAATTGGTTATCCTTTAAAACAATTATGGGCAGATACATTTAGTTAAAGGCATCTAATATGAAACTAATGGTACATTAAAACCCATGAAGAAAATCATCACAATACTATTAATATGTGGCTTCAAACTCATGAAAGCCAAGAAATTTAGGTTAGTGAGTCCTCAAGGAGAGAACTACTTGTGGATTGTGGATTTTGTTAAAAGCCAGGGGCTAAAATCTTAGTCAATCCACTCCACCTCCCTACTCCTATTCCTAAGACAAGTCTCAAAGCAGTAAACTTGCTAGGCAAGACATAAAATGGCCCCTGAAAGAATGCATTTACTTATCTGAAACAGTGAACTTTATTTATCAGGGTGTTAGGGGCTTGAATATTCCATTTAGCCTGAGAGCACTAAATGGTTTCCTGGTAAGTCACAGCGACTTAAGTGAAAGGAAGAAAACAAAAGCACAGGAAACTCCAGTTTTCTCTCTACTTTACTTTTTATGGATCACAGAACAATTTTCATCTTCCCTTGTTTACTCTGGCAGCACTTCAGGAGGTCCCTGTGTCCTTCTGTGCTAGAGGAAGAATGTGAAGCAGGGGCTCAACACAATTCTTTATTTCTGCTGCGATCACCCAGAGCACATGACCACTTCCAAGCCATATGATTCTTCATTGTTAAATATAGAGGTATTCATGTACATTGGGCCTACATCTTGAGGAAAAATAGGAATTATTTACCAAGTCATTTTTTTCATCCTTCTTTTCCCACCCTCAACCAGAAGGTGGTTTCTCCTTTTGGAATGCTCTTTCTTCTTATATATTAATATTCTGTCCATACTTCAAAGCCAAATCAGATCTGGAATTTTGCAAAGTTATTCAAATACTCATCTTAAATTAATGTATTTTTCTTTTGCCCCAAATGTACCTCTGTTATGAAACTAATATTATTCTGTCTTGATTTAGACTTTCCTTTCCCTCTAGTTTTTAATCTCCTTGTTTCAATATTTTAACTTATATACTGCTCATTGTTGCCAGATTTTTTTTAAATCCATTTTGGTAAATAGTTGAGATTTACAGTTCTCAAAACTTAATGTAAAACACAATTTTCCTAAACATTTTTAAAAAGCGTTCCTCTACACTTCATTACTTCACGAGATTTCTTACAAGCACTCTGAACAAATATCAAGTGTAGTGCAGTAGGTATTTCCACTTCAAAAGAAAGTTTTGATGTTCCTTTGTGCTTATAAGTACAAAAATATTAGGATGTTTTATATGTTAGTTTTTACCAGTGGATTAATTTTGTGGGCAACATTATGCATTCAGAGCTGAATTTATTTCCAAAAAATGGTATAACATTAAGATGTTAATTTACTTTAATGGAAATATTAAATTCATTTTTTAAATGTTATATACTATATTTTTCCGAGTGTCATGTAACTCTGCATATTACTATGGAAATAGACTCCAAGAATACAGGTAGTTTGTCCAAGGCTACATACTATTCTGTGATAGAGCTGGGAATAAATTCTGTAGGGCTGAGGCCCACTATGCCAGGAAACTACTTTGACCTGGCCACATTGAATTTCATGACATCTGTAATGCCAATAAAATCATGATTGTGAAGCAGCGTAAATGTTCTAAATATTTGTAAAATAAAGACCTTATCAACTTGACAAAGGCAGAATCTAGTTTTATAGAGATTAGTGGAATTCTCTGACAATGGCTGGTAGAGGAGGAATGAGAAAGAACAGTGTTTTTTTCCTACGTCAAATCCGTACCAAACTGGTGGAGTTCCTAAGCCAAAAGAACATTGGCCTTTTGAATAAAAATGTCTCAGAAATCCTTGAAAATTTGAATTTCTGACACATGAAAATATTTCTTCTCCAGAATAAAATTCATGCTACACAGATATAACCTAAAGATTGTTTTCAGTTGCTTCCTGTACCATTTTTACTAATTTCTTATGGATTTGCATATAATCAAATGTACAAATAATTTGGAAGTTTATAAATACTGTTCCTTTTTAAAAAGTATTCTTCTTATTAAAATATTTACCAAAAATTGAGTATTTTTACATATCTGATTCCAAGTGTTAAATTGCAAATGAAGCGTTGTGTCATTCTCTGAGCTCTCTGATGTAGCAGAGATGGCCATAAAGCACATAGCTTCCTCAACAGTCTGGTCTCCACACACTTTCTGAAATTGCTCAGTTGAGCAATTGAGATCTTCTCCCTCTTCCTGTCTCTCTCTTTCTTCTTTCTCCCTCTCCCTCCTCCTCTCTGTCATATTATGTCTCTCATTTGATCAGTATTCACCATGCCTGGACAACCAAGATATATTTCACAGGACTGTTTGAGATGGGACAACAGCCTTGGCTGCACAGTAGAGAGGATCAAAATACCCAATTAAAAGACTGAAAATGGTAAAATTCCAGTTCCTCTTCCTGAATATATTGTGCAAAAACAGAGCTGGGCTCTGTGGGGAGAAGACAATGGAGAATTGTTAAAATGTGAATTGAAAACAGGCTGAGGAATCTCAGATAAAGTATGTAATACATAGTTAACTGAGACCAGGAAAATCTTCTGGAAGCTAAGAAAGAGGGAGCTCTACCTGAAGGAAGCACTAAATATGGAAAGGAAAAACTGGTACCAGCCACAGCAAAAACACACCAAAATATAAAGACAAATGACACTATGAAGAAACTGCATCAACTAATGTGCAAAATAACCAGCTAACATCATGATGACAGGATGAAATTCACACAAAACAATGTCAACCTTAAATGTAAACAGGCTAAAGCTCCAATTAAAAGACACAGACTGGCCAGTTGGATTAAGAGTCAAGACCCATCAGTGTGCTGTATTCAGGAGACCCATCTCACATGCAAAGACACACATAGGTTCAAAATAAAGGGATGGAGGAATATTTACCAAGTAAATGGAAACAAACAAACCAAAAAAAAGGAGTTGCAATCCTAGTCTCTGATAAAACAGACTTCAAACCAACAAAGATAAAAAGAGACAAAGAAGGGCATTACATAATGGTAAAGGGATCGATGCAACAGGAACAGCAAACTATCCTAAATATATATTCACCCAATACAAGAGCACCAAGATTCATAAAGCAAGTTCTTAGAGACTGACAAAGAGACTTAGACTCCCACACAATAACTGTGGGAGACTTTAACACTCCACTGTCAGTATTACACAGATCAACGAGACAGAAAATAAACAAGGATATTCAGGACTTGAACTCAGCTCTGAATCAAGTGGACCTAATAGACATCTACAGAACTCTCTACCCCAAATCAACAGAATATACATTCTTCTCAGCACCACATAGCATGTGTTCTAAAATTCACCACATAATTGGAAGTAAAACACTCCTCAGCAGATGCAAAAGAACAGAAATCTTAAAAAAAGTCTTTCAGACCACAGTGCAATCAAATTAGAACACAGGATTAAGAAACTCACTCAAGGCCGGGTGCAGTGGCTCAGGCCTGTAATCCCAGCACTTTGGGAGGCTGAGGTGGGAGGATCATGAGGTCAGGAGATCAAGACCATCCTGGCTAACACGGTGAAACCCCATCTCTATTAAAAATAAAAAAATTTAGCTAGGTGTGGTGGTGGGCGCCTGTAGTCCCAGCTACTTGGGAGGCTGAGGCAGTAGAATGGCGTGAACCTGGGAGGCAGAGCTTGCAGTGAGCTGAGATCACGCCACTGCACTCCAGTCTGGGTGACAGAGCAAGACTCCATCTCCAAAAAAAAAAAAAAAAAAAAAAAAGAAAAGAAAAGAAAAAAGAAAAAAAAGAAACTCACTCAAAACCACACAACTACATGGAAATTGAACAACATGTTCCTGAATGACTCCTGGGTAAATAACAAAATTAAGGCCAAAATAAAGAAGTTGTTTGAAACCAATGAGAACAAAGAGACAACATACCAGCATCTCTAGGACACAGCTAAAGCAGTGTTAAGAGGGAAATTTATAGCACTAAATGCCCACATCAGAAAGCTGGAAAAAATCTCAAATTGATACCCTAACATCACAATTAAAAGAACTAGAGAAGCAAGAGCAAACAAATTCAAAAGCTGGCAGAAGACAAGAAATAAGTAAGATCAGAGCAGAACTGAAGGAGATAGAGACACGAAAAATGTTAAAAAAATCAATGAATCCAAGAGGTGGTTTCTTGAAAAGATTAGCAAAATAGATGGACCACTAGCAAGACTAATAAAGAAGATAAGAGGGAACAATCGAATAGACACAATAAAAAATGATAAAGGGAATATCACCCCTGATCCCACAGAAATACAAACTTCCATCAGAGAATACTATAAACTCATCTATGCAAATAAACTAGAAAATCTAGAAGAAATGGATAAATTCCTGGACACATACACCCTCCCAAGACTAAACCAGGAAGAAGTCAAATCCCTGAATAGACCAAAAACAAGTTCTGAAATTGAGGCAGTAATTAATAGCCTACCAACTAAAAAAAAGCCCAGGACCAGACGGATTCATAGCCTCATTATACCAGAGGTACAAAGAGGAGCTGGTACCATTCCTTCTGAAACTATTCCAAACAATAGCACAAGAGGGACTCCTCCCTAACTAATTTTATGAGGCCAGCATCGTCCTGATACCAAAACCTGGTAGAGACATAACAGAAAAAGAAAATTTCAGGCCAATATCCCTGATGAATGTTGATGCAAAAATCCTCAATAAAATACTGGGAAACTGAATCTAGCAGTACATCAAAAAGCTTATCCACCATGATCAATTCAGCTTCATCCCTGGGATGCAACACTGGTTCCACATACACAAATCAATAAATATAATCCATCACATAAATAGAACCAATGACAAAAACCACATGATTATCTCAATAGATGCAGAAAAGGCCTTTGAAAAATTCAACCTCCCTTCATGCTAAAAAACTCTCAATAAACTAGGTATTGACGGAACATATATCAAAATAATAAGAGCTGTTTATGACAAATCTATAGACAATATCATACTGAATGGCCAAAAGCTGGAAGCATTCCCTTTGAAAACCAGCACAAGACAAGGATGCCCTTTCTCATCACTCCTATTCAACATAGTATTGGAAGTTCTGGCCAGGGCAATAAGGCAAGACAAAGAAATAAAGCGTATTCAAATAGGAGGAGAGGAAATCAAATTGTCTCTGTTTGCAGAAAATATGACTATATTTAGAAAACCCCATCGTTTCTGGTCAAAAACTCCTTAAGCTGATAAGCAACTTCAGCAGTCTCAGAATAAAAAAATCAATGTACAAAAATTATAAGCATTTCTATTCACCAGAGAGCAGACAGCCAAATCATGAGTGAACTCCCACTCACAAATGCTACAAAGAGAATAAAATAATTAGGAGTACAACTTACAAGGGAGGACCTCTTCAAGGAGAACTACAAATCACTGCTCAAGGAACTAAAATAGGACAAACACAAATGGAAAAACATTCCATGCTCATGGATAAGAAGAATCAATATTGTGAAAATGGCCATACTACCCAAAGTAATTTATAGATTCAATGCTATTCCCATCAAGCTACCAGTGACTTTCTTTGCAGAATTAGAAAAAAACTACTTTGAATTCCATATGGAACAAAAAAAGAGCCCGCACAGCCAAAACAATCCTAAGCAAAAAGAACAAACCTGGAGGCATCACGCTACCTGACTTCAAACTATACTACAAGGCTACAGTAACCAAAACAGCGTGGTACTAGTACCAAAACAGATATATACACCAATGGAAGAGAACAGAGACCTCAGAAATAACACCACACATCTACAACTATCTGATCTTCAAAAAACTTGACAAAAACAAGCCATGGGGAAAGGATTCCATATTTAATAAATGGTGCTGGGATAACTGGCTAGCCATATGCAGAAAACAAAAACTGCTGGACCCCTTCCTTACACCTTATACAAAAATTAACTCAAGATGGATTAAAGACTTAAATGTAAAACCCAAAACTATAAAAACCCTAGAAGAAAACTTGGCAATACCATTTAGGACATAGGCATGGGCAAAGACTTCATGACTAAAACACTGAAAGCAATTGCAACAAAAGTCAAAACTGACAAATGGGATCTAATTAAACTAAAGAGCTTCTGCACAGCAAAATAAACTATCACCAGAGTGAACATGCAACCTACAGAATGGGAGAAAATTTCTGCAAGCTACCCATCTGACAAAGGTCTAATACCCAGAATCTACAAGGAATTTAAACAAATTTACAAGAAAAAAAAAAACCCATCAAAAAGTGGGCAAAGGATATGAACAGATGCTTCTCAAAAGAAGACATTTATGCAGCCAACCAACATATGAAAACAAGCCCATCATCACTAGTCATTAGAGAAATGTGAATCAAAACCACAATGAGATACCATCTCATACCAGTTAGAATAGTGGTTATTAAGAAGTCAGGAAACATCAGATGGTGGCAAGGCTGTGGAGAAATAGGAAAGCTTTTACACTGTGGTGGGAGTGTAAATTAGTTCAACCATTGTGGAAGACAGTGTGGCGATTCCTCAAGTGTCTAGAACCAGAAACACCATTTGACCCAGCAATCCCATTACTAGGTATATATGCAAAGGATTATAAATCATTCTACTATAAAGACATATGCAGACGTATGTTTATTGCAACACTATTTACAATAGCAAAGACTTGGAACCCACCAAAATGCCCATCAATAATAGACTGGATAAAGAAAATGTGGCACATATACACTATGGAATACTATGCAGCCATAAAAGAATGAGTTCATA
This sequence comes from Homo sapiens, assembly GCF_000001405.40. Taxonomy (NCBI): domain Eukaryota; kingdom Metazoa; phylum Chordata; class Mammalia; order Primates; family Hominidae; genus Homo; species Homo sapiens. Next base: position 52,587,927 of record NC_000002.12, on the reverse strand, counting down.
TCCTTTGCAGGGACATGGATGAAGCTGGAAGCCATCATCCTCAGGAAACTAACACAGGAAAAGAAAACCAAACACCTCATGTTCTCACTTCTAAGTGGGAATTGAACAATGAGAACACATGGACACAGGGAGGGGAACAGCACACACTGGGGCCTGTCCAGAGTGGGGGGCAAGGGGAGAGAGAGCATTAGGACAAATACCTAATGCATGCAGGACTTAGAACCTAGATGACGTAAGTTAGGTGTAGATAGGTGTACCAAACCACCATGGCACATGTATTCCTATGTAATAAACCTGCACGTTCTGTACACGTATCCCAGAACTTAAAGTAAAAAAAAAAAAAAAAAAATAGACGGAGCTCTAGAAGGGGTTGAACTGACCAGAGGATAAGATAGAGAAAGAGAGGAACACGTTATCCAAGAATCTGTCAGTTTATCGTTTGAAAGTAGACTCAACTCATAGAACTGGAAAAGGCAATGGTCCAGAAGTCCTCCCTATATATCACAAGGGGACCATTTTTAGAAACAGTCTTCATTATGACACTCAGCATTAGAATGAACCACTCTCTCCTGATTTAAGAAAACTAGTGTAAAATGAAGATGACATGGAGATTTTGGAGAATGTCTGCTTTGGACACATTACTGTCCTGGACTACACTTAAATAATTCATTGATTTTTAATACTAAAAATTAGTGCATTTTTTCCTAATGATTTATGTAGCAGAATGGGGCCCATTTTCCAATATATTCCATTTTCATAACATTCCTGATTTTCTTATGGGCTCTTTAACATGTCACCTCTCTCCACACAGTATTTCCAGCCAACTTATCTTCCTATTTTGCCTACGGGCTTTTCAACATGTCATCTCTCTCTACATGGTATTTGCAGCCAACTTCTCCTAGAACATTTCTGCTGACAACACACAAGTCAAAATGTACCTCTTCAATAGAGGCAAGTATCCTCTCCCTGTCTACCCTTAGCTTCTCTGAGTACTCCATGTTTCTACTTCCTTCTGGTTTTATAAGCTGTTACACACCAGTTTGTTTTTAATCATTTAGCACATTCCAAAAATTTTGTAACATCAACTTTGAATCAAAGGCAGAGGTGTTTATCTCACAGTTCTCCTTTACATTTTATGTTGTTATTATTTAGAGATGAGGTCTTATTCTGTTGCCCAGTGTGGGGTGCAGTGGTAAGATCACAGCACACTGCAGCCCTGAACTCGCTCAAGCAATCCTCCCACCTCAGCCTCCCAAGTATCTGGGACCACAGGTGCACAACACCATACTCAGGTAAATTTTTTATTTTTGTAGAGATCGGGTCTCACTGTGTTGCCCAAGCTGGTCTTGAATTCCTGATATCAAGCGATCCTCCTGCCTCAGCCTCCCAAGTTGCTGGGATTGCAGGTGTGAGCCACTGCACACAGCTCATATTATTTATCTTGGTACTAGGCACATAAGCATTATTTTAGAAATACTGTTGCTTGATAAAGAATATTTCCTGAAAAATGTAAAAGAGTTTACCAATGAGAAGCTAAATTATTTTTTAAAGAAAACAGTACAGATTAAAGATGAATATAGTCTAACCACCAAGAGCTTGCCTTCTAATTATTATAAATTATGGCCTTGAACATTTAGACCATTCTAGATTTCATTTCCCACCCAACTTGAAATCCAATCAAGCATTTGCTTGCTGCTTTCTACATCCACATCCAAGCACCCATTGTAACATATATGCTAATTTTGATTATTTTAAATGATTTCTTTAAGTTGTTTTTAATACATAATTGTTTTAGTACAAGTTATATTTAATACAAAACTCTAGATTAGTCTGGCATAGTCCATCATTTATAACAACAGTTATTTTGCCACCAGCTTCCAAAAATAATTCAACACATTATTCTTGATAGGTAAATCAGAGAGCATTACCCTATTGCAGCAATCTATGGAGAATGATTCTCCAGTTTCACCTTGTCCTGAATCCACCTGCCCTCTTCCCTAACAGGAAACACAAAACTCTTTGTGCTCTTTTTAATTTCCTGCTTCCAACTGAAATGTGAACTTTCTTCACCCCTTTCCTCATGGCTCTATTATTTTGGCATTCAGCAGTAAAAGGAAACCCCTGCCAGGTATCTTTGTGAAACTCAACTCCAGGGTTAATTTTTTTTTTAATTTTGCGTGATATCTCATTTAATTTTGATGTTGTCTCAACCATCTATGTTAAATTTTCCCCCCAAACTAATAAATTTGTCAAGCTTTACCTCAAAATACATATTTTGGAGGGTTTTATCTTTTGAGTCCAGAATGAACTTTAAATTCCTTTGATACATTGTCTCTCTAGCTATTAATTTCTTATCTGAAAGCCTTTCTAGAGGGGTGAAATCATCTGCCAGTAACTCAGATGCTTTGCCTATGACCTCCATTTTTTCTCAGTTAACCTTAAATGGTGAAAAATGTTACTTGCTCCTGGCCATCTCTTATTTCCCAGGTTGATCCACATTTTTATTACAACTCAGGATTTGAGAATTCTTTTTTCAACTATAATTATCTCAACATGATTGTTTCTCTATTCCCAGTGCAGGTCACTTTTTTTTTTTTTTTTTTTTTTTTTTACTTTGTACTGAAGTTATCAGAATAAAATATATTTTGCTATTTAGGCCTTTGGATGGAAACTATTTTTCTCATCAATTTCTAAAAGTAACATCAGTGCTAAGAAAAAAAATTCAGGGTTATTCAATTTGGAAGTTAGATTTCTTTCAATTTTAAACTTCTAGACAGACAGAGCTGTGAACCAAGATGTTAGGCAAAAAGCCACATAAGATTTTTAAAAATCTAGTGGTTTTGTTCTTAGAACATGTAATACCAATGATGTCAAGTCACCAAGAAAGTTCTATTTCATCCAGCATCTTTGGTTTAAGAATGCAATAAAATATTTAATATACCTTTAAAATGTTTTCATTGTTAATGATAACAAACTCTTAACATTTGTACTGCTATATTCATAATAAAATCTACCATTCTTTAGGTCCTAGTACTAGACACGTATTTAACATATATGTCTCATTAAATACACCCACCAAAATAGATGATAGTTTTCTGATTTCCCAAATGAGGAAATAATGGCCCTGAGAAGCATAAGTATTTGCCCCTGCTTATCTGAAAAGACAGTTGAAATCTTTGTATAGGTATCCCAAACCCCTTGGAAAAAGACTGCTTAAAGTCTGAATATGCTCTGATAGTTTTTCCCTTTAAACTTCTAGTATTACTAAATTTCTCTTCATAATTCTTTAGCAGTTAGACCATTTTACATAATTGTCTTCAGATGAAGAACTTTGTCCTCTGAATAGAAGTAAAAGGCCTCGGCCGGGCATGGTGGCTCACGCCTGTAATTCCACCAATTTGGGAGGCCGAGGTGGGTGGATCACCTGAGGGCAGGAGTTCAAGACCAGCCTGACCAACATGGTGAAACCCCGTCTCTACTAAAAATACAATAATTAGCTGCGCGTGGTGGCATGTGCCTGTAGTCCCAGCTACTCGGGAGGCTGAGGAGAATCACTTGAACCCAGGAGGCAGAGGTTGCAGTGAGCCAAGATTGCGCCACTTCACTCCAGCTTGGGTGACAGAGTGAGACTGTCTCAAAACAAACAAAAAAAAGGAACTAAAGGCCTCTGGCCAGCTGGTGCTACTAGCTCTTCATATCTTCTGAGAGCTCACTGGGCTGGTGAATGTGCAGTATAGGGTGTACCCACCAGCTTTCTCTTAATATGGTTCCTCTTTTGCAAACCTTCTAACCTCATGCTAGACTATTAAGCTCTACTTTATTTCTTGATGATATTGGGTAAATTATAATTTGGTCAAGTGCTCAAATTTTCTATAATCAAACCCCACTTCTTTAAATGTAGAAGCATTGTGTGTGTGTGTGTGTGTGTGTGTGTGTGTGTGTGTGTGTGAAATAAAGTGACTTACTTCCACCTTTTATTACATACATTGCCTTTTAAAATCACTATCTTGACATTCAGAATATTTCTCCCATAAAGGATGATTTTCCAGAAATAATTCTGACATATGAGTTAACAAATTGGGAGAAATATATAATTGTGATTGTCCTTAGGCATCCAGGTTCTTGAAATAGTGGCTTATCTCTCTAGAGAATAATTTTCTCTATAACTTTAAACATAATGTGTGCATTGTAATTTCTTACCAACAGAAACTATAGAATTTATTTTTCAGTATACTCTAAACTCAAATCAAAGTCAAGAAAAGATGGTGGGATGAGGGATAAGCCAAAGACAAGGTGTTTGAATATCAATATTTTGGAATAAAAAGAGAACAAACCAGAAGAGCTAGGAAATCGACTATTTGAATAACCTGTTTATATGGGGCTTAATTTTGAAAAATCTATGCTTGACCTGCCTTCTACAGAGTATTTCAGTAGGACTTTAGCTTCTAAGTAACTTGGAGAAAAGTGTTAAATGAGGTAGATCCCTCAAGATGTTTACATATCTGTTGTCTACTGTTTAAAAGGATTTTCTTTAAAAAGAAGCAGAATGTTTGGTTCTGTGCCCCTACCCAAATCTCATTTCAAAATGTAATCCCCATGTGTGAAGGTAGGGACCTGGTGGTAGGTGATTGGATCATGGGGTGGTTTCCCCCATGCTGTTCTCCTGATAGTGAACGAGTTCGCACGAGATCTGATTGTTTAATAGTGGCAGTCTCCCCTGCATGCTGTCTCTCTCCTGCCACCAGGTAAGACATGCCTTGCTTCCTCTTTACCCTCCGCCATGATTTTAAGTTTCCTGAGGCTTCCCCAGCCATGCAGAACTGTGAGTCAATTAAATCTCTTTTATTTATAAATTACCCTGTCTCAGGTAGTATCTTTATAGTGGTGTGAGAACAGAATAATACAGATGGGAATTCTCTTAGTTGTCAGTGACAAAGAAAGAAGTAGAAATGAGAGAAAAAGAAAATAAAATGTTGGTGGATTGCTAAAAATGTTCTTCATCTTCTGCAATGTCATATTGGTTTGTCATGAGGAATAAGAATTATGAAGGATTATGTTATTGATAGAAGTCATATATAGAGAAGTGGTATACAAGGCCTTACGGTTGATTGATTTTTTTTTTTTTTAAGTCAATGATATGGCTTGGTTCTGAGTTACCACCCAAATCTCATCTTCTAGCTCCCATAATTCCCATATGTTGTGGGAGGGACCGGGTGGAAAATGATTGAATTATGGGGTTGGGTCTTTTCCATGCTGTTCTTGTAATAATGAATGGGTCTCATGTGATCTGATAGTTTTAAAAAACGGGAGTTTCTCTGCACAAGCCCTCTCTTTGCCTGATGCCACCTTGTAAGCAGTGATCTTTGTTTACTGTGAGATGCTCTCTATTGCCTCAGGCAATGAGCTGTCCTATAGAATGCACAGTGGTCTGTGCTCCCTGCTTGGTTCCAAAGAGAGAAAACAAGCTGGGTGGGGTTGAACTGGGTGAAAACAAGCTGGGTGGGGCTGGACTGGGCAAGTCCATCTATACCTCCCTTAATAGCAGGTGTAAGTAAGGCATTTGAAGATCCGCCAAAAACACAACAAAAAAAGAGCTGCCGGATTGACATTATGTCTGTGACAATGCAGTAGAAAATGAACACTAGAGGTGAGTTCAAAGATGAGCTTAGAATCTATATCTCTATAAATAGCAATCAGTTTTAGATTCAATCAAGGTGATTAAATTAAAGAAGATGATTAAAAAAACGGTGATCATTCACCAGTTTCCATTAAGTAATCAATGCTTAAATAAGGAACACCTGAACTAATATTCTTTTGAGATAATTATACTTTGTATGATCTAGGAAAACAGTGTGAAGATATCCAGAAAGGCAGTGCATGTTACGACAGCAAGGAACCTTTTGTTTTTTTGAGACTGGGTCTCGCTTTGTCACCCAGGCTGGAGTGCAGTGGCACGAACCCGGCTCACTGCAACCTCCGCCCCCTGGGTTCAAACGATTGCCCTGCCTCAGCCTCCGAAGTAGCTGGGACTACAGGCACGCACCACCACACCCAGCTAATTTTTTTTTTTTTTTTTTTTTTTTTTTTTTTTTTTTTTTGAGAGGGAGTCTTGCTCTTGTTGCCCAGGCTGGAGTGCAGTGGCGCAACCCTGGCTCACCACAACCTCCGCCTCCTGGGTTCAAGTGATTCTCCTGCCTCAGCGTCCCGAGTAGCTGGGATTACAGACGCACACCACCACGCCCAGCTAATTTTTGTATTTTTAGTAGAGACAGGGTTTCACCATGTTGGCCAGGCTGGTCTCAAACTCCTGACCTCAAGTGATCTGCCCGCCTCAGCCTCCCAAAGTGCTGGGATTACAGGCGCGAGTCACTTCGCCCGATCTCGGCTCATTGCGAGTTCCACCTCCCGGGTTCACGCCATTCTCCTGCCTCAGCCTCTCGAGTAGCTGGGACTACAGGCGCCCACCACCACGCCTGGCTAATTTTTCTGTATTTTCAGTAGAGACGGGGTTTCACCGTGTTAGTCAGGATGGTGTCGATCTCCTGACCTCAAGATCTACCCGCCTCGGCCTCCCAAAGTGCTGGAATTACAGACCTGAGCTACCGCATCTGGCCGACCAATCCTTTTTTATTAAAGCTCTTCTTGTTTTTTTTTCTTTCCCAAGATGGTGGATTAGAGGCTTTTAGCATGCTTCATTCACTTGGAAATAACAAAATGGTGTATAAACAGCAACACTGTGAGCTTTTACTCAAGAAGGAATACAGAATTCACCCAAAAAGTGAGGGACACTCCGGATACTGGGGAAGAGAAGGTTTACAAGCAGCCTGTGTGACAGCATTTGACTGATAAAAGTGAGTGAAGCCTCAGTGCATAAAAGAGGCACTTTTCATTTATGATTCACTTTTTAACTAGAGATTCGTCCAACCAAGGCCACGGGAGAGCACCTTGTTTCTCCGAAGCCCTGGAGCTAACTTGGGGAGAGGCTGGGAGAGGGTATGAGGGAAAGATGCCAGAAAAGCTGCGGAAATTTTCCCAGACTTGGACTGAGAGGACACTGTTTTCAATCTAGTTTCATATAAAGAAGTCAGTAATTTTTGGTGACCCAGCAGGGGCAGCTGCCACAGGGACTTTGGACTCTGGCTGGAGAATGGAGCACTTACTCTGGAGCAGGGGAAGGGTACCCACAATCAGAACTGAGTGATGAGTGTAGACTGCACCCCAGCAGTAGGCACTGTGACTGGAGCAGAGGAATTGCTGAAGCCACTGCTTCTCCGGGTGGCATGATTTGTGTGGCCAGAAGAGCTTTGCAGTCTGGGACTAGTGTCATTGCTGGGTAGTCAGTTCCTTTGGTCAGTCAGGACAGTGTGCCCCACAAGTTTTGAGAAGTGTAGGGAGGCAGACCCCACCCCTGAGACTACCTTCCCTTCCCCTGCAAAGACCTTGTTGCAGCAGCAGCTACTCTGCTTCACAGAAATTACTCTGCTTCTTTCTGGGGAACATATTTCCAGCATTTGGCCTACCAAGTGGCCTAGAATGGAGACCTGAGCCATGCCTCTCTTTCTGTGCACAGACCGTGGTGCAGCATTGCCCTTTTCACCTCACACTCAGGCATAATTACAAGCACTCAATACATCAACTCATGTGGATAGGAGCCTGAGTTGTCCTTCCTTTCCTGCAGAGAGATTTTGATGCTGTGGTGTCTTCGCTGTCTTCACTGCTTCATAACTGGGCATAATTTTGAGCTTTCAGCCCACTCCCTTGCCTGGATTAGGAACCTGAGTCACACCTCCTTTCCTGTGCAGAAATTTTGACACAGTTGCACTGTCTCTACCCCATACCCAGGCATATTATCAGACCTTTGTCACACTTACTCACCTGATATAGGAGCCTGACCCACCCCTTATTTCTCATGCAGAGATCCTGATGCAGCACCAACCTCTACACTTCACACCAGGGCATATTTCCAGGCATTCAGTGCACCTGCTCAGCCTGAGCCACCCCTCCTTTCAGGTGCCAAGATTCTGGTGTGGCAGCGCCCCCTCTGCTCCATGGCTGAATGTATCTCCAGGCATTTGAAGCACCCATATCTTAGATTATGAGTATGGGCTGCCCATCCATTTCCAGGCAGAGAACTTGAGGCAGTGGATATTTCTCTACTCCATGCCCAGGGACATCTCTTGCCACTTGGCTACTGCCTTCCAGACACCCCCACAAAGCTAGTGCTTATACCTGCCATTAGGGGATGTATAGATGGACTTGCCCAGTCTAGTTCCACCCAGCTTGTTTTCTCTCTCCAGGAACGAGCAGGGAGCACAGATGACTGTGAATTGTATGGGATAGCTAATTGCTTGACGCAACAGACAGCATCTCACAGTAAACTAAGATCAAGTATATACCTATCTGCATTGGCCACAGCTGGCTCTTATCCATATGAAGCACCCATTGGCCTAGAGAATGAACTGCACAACCCAATACAAAATCTGCTGGCACAAGTGCACAGCACTGAGAAATAAGCTTCCAGACACCTCTGCCATACTGGCCTACACGAGGCAGTGAGCCCACTCACACATCTAGTATATTGCTACTACAACCAGCATCTGAGAAATACACTCACTATACAAATGCCACATATAACAAAGGAACCTATAGAGAGTCTTTGCCACTGAAAGCACCCAGAACCAAAGCTAAAGGACCCTACACAACATGCATTTTAGTCACATCCTTGGGGTCACGGAGGGGAGAAATACTATCCAAAAGAAAATAAATTCAAAAATAAGGAGAGATGGCTTATTTAAATGAGAAGAAACCAGAGAAACAATTCTGACAGTATGAAAAACAGATTGTCACAACACCGTCTTAAGATCACACTAACTTTCCTGCAATGAATCCTAACCAAAATTAAATTTTGGAAATACCAGATAAAGAATTCAAAATATTAACTTTAAAGAAGCTCAATGATATTAAAGAGAAAGTTGAAAAACAACACATATAAATTAGAAAAAAAAACACAATTTGGGATATAAAAGAAGAGACAGTTATTATTTTAAATAATAAAATAGAAGTTCTGCAAGTGAAAAATTCATTGAGGGAATTACAAAATACAGTTAAAAACTTCAAAAATAGCCCTGACCAAGAAGAATAATGAACTTTAGAGCTGGAACACAGCTCTTCATATTAACCTCATAAGACAAAAATAAAAATAAAAAAAGATTTTTAAAAAACGAATAAAATCTCGGAGAAGTACGGGATTATGTAAAGCACCAAGAACTACAAGTTAAGCTATTCTAGAGGGAGAAGAAGAAAAAGTATAAAGTATGAAACACTGTTTGAGAGACGAATTCAGGAAAAGTTCCCAGGTCTTACTAGAGATCTAGTTATCCAGGTGTAAGAAGTTCAGTGAACTCCTGAAAAATGCATTGCATTAAGAACCTCATGGAGGCATATAGTCAACAGATTATCCAAAGGTGATGTGAAGAAAAAAAATATAAAAGTGGCAAGAGAGAAGCATCTAATCACCTATAAAGCGAATCCCAACAGACTAATAGAAGAATTCTCAGCTAAAACTTTACAAGCCAGAAAAGACTGGGTCTTATTTTCAGTCTTCTTAAAGAAAAAAAAAAATGCTGCCCAATAATTTAGTATCTTGTCAAACTAAGCTTCAAAAATTTTTTTTAAAAAAAGAGTCTTTTCCAGACAAGCAAACACTTAGAGAATTTTTCACCACTAAACTGAAACTACAAGAAATGCTCAAAGAAATTCTAAACATGGACAAAATAGTAATACTTGACATCAAAAAACATACAAAAGTATAAAACTCCCAGGTCTTATAAATCAATTACACAATCAAGATTGAAAAGTAATTAGATAAAAATTAACATTATGAAAAATGAAAAGTATGAACATTAACATTGTATGACAAAAGGTCACATATCAATAGTAACCTTAAACATAAATTGACTAAATGCTTCACTTAAAAGATATATGCTGGATATGTATAATGGATAAAGGCCAATACCCAATCCTTTGTTGCATTAAAAAAACCCACCTATTTACAGACTCAAAGTAAAAGGGTGCAAAAATATATTTCATGCAAAGAGAAACCATAAGTGACAGGAGTAACTATACTTAGATAAAATAGACTTTAAATCAACAACAGTAAAAAAAAAAAAAAAGGTGAAGAAGGTAATCATATAATGATAAAGGGATCAATTCAATAAGAATATATAACAATTCTAAATATATATGCATTCATATTCATAAACCAAATACTACTAGGCTTAAGAAAAGTGATAGACACTAACACAATAATAGTGGAGGATTTGAATACTCCACTGACAACATTAGACAGATTATCCATGTAGAAAAGTAACAAAGAAACTCTGGATTTAAATTGGACTCTAGAACAAATGAACCTAAAAGATATTTACAGAATATTCTACCCAAAAACCTGAGAATATACATGCTTCTTGTCTGTGCATAGGACATTCTCAAAAATTGACCATATACTATGCCACAAGGCAAGTCGTGATAAATTTGAAAAAATTGAAATTATATCAAGTACATTATCTTACCACAATGGAATAAAACTAGAAGTCAACACCAAGAGGAATGCTGAAAACCACACAAATACATGAAAATTAAATAATCTGCTCCTGAATAATTGTTGAGTCAATGATGACATTAAAGTGGACACCAAAATGTTTTTGGAAACAAATGAAAATACAGACACAATATACAAAAACTTCTGGGATACAGCTAAAGCAGTGCTAAGCGGGAACTTTATACCCTTAAATGTCTACATCAAAAATATAGAAATAACTCAAATTAACAACCTAATGTTGCATGTTAATGAAGTAAACAAGAACAAACCATATTCAAAGCTAGCAGAAGAAATGAAATAACAAAGATCAGAGCTGAACTAAATGAAATGGAGACCAAAAAAAAAAAAATCATTGAAATGTAAAATATGTTCTTTGAAAAGATAAAACTGATAGACCAGTAGCTAGATTTACCAAGAAATAAAGAGAGAAGATTCAAATAAGCACAATCAGAAATGATAAAGATGTCATTACAACTGATACAACAAAAATATAAAAGATCATCAGAGACTACTATGAGCATCTCTATGTACACAAACTAGAAAGTCTAGAGAAAATGGATAAATTCCTGGAAAGATACAGCCTCCCAAGATTGAATCAGGAAGACGTAGACATCCTGAACAGACCAATAATGAGTAGTGAAAGTAAATTGGTAATAAAAAAATCTTAATAATAAAAAAAAAGCCTAGGACCAGGTAGTTTCAGAGACAAATTCTACCAGATACACAATGAAGTAGTGATACTAAACTTGCTAAAACTGTTCCCAAAAATTGAGGAGAGAAAATCTTCCCTAACTCATTTTATAAAGCCAGCATTGCCTTGATACTAATGCCAGGCAAAGACACTACAAAAAAAGGAAAACTACAGACCAATATCTTTGGTGAACATAGATGTGAAAATCCTCAACAAAATACTAGTAAACAGAAACCAACAACACATCAAAAAGATAATATACTGTTACTAAGTGGATTTTGTTATAGGGATGAAAGTTTGGTTTTACATATGCATATTAATAAATATGATTCACCACATAAACAGAATTCAAAACAAAAGCATATGATTATATAAATAGATACAGAAAAAGCATTTGATAAAATTCAGCATCACTTCCTAATGAAAAACCTTTGCTATGCTAGGCACAGAAAGAACATAACTCAAAATAATAAAAGCCATATATGACAAACCCATAGAAAACATGACACTGGAATGGGAAAAATTAAAAGCATTCCTCTTAAGAACTGGGAAAAGGACAATGATGTCCACTCTCTTCACTCTTATTCAACATAGTACTTGAAGTCCTAGTCAGAGTAATCAGACAAAAGAAAGAAATAAAAGACATCTAAATTGGCAAAGAGGAAGTCAAATTATCTCTGTTCACTGATGATACAATTTTATACCTAGAAACCCTAAGGACTCCTCCAAATGCCTCCTAGATTTTATAAGTGACTTCAGTAAAGAATCAGGCTACAAAATCAACTTACAAAAATCAGTTGTGTTTCTATATGCCAATAATCATCAAGCTGGGAACCAAATCAAGAACTCAATCCCATTTACAATAGCTACACAAAACAAATAAAAAATGCATAGGAATGCATTTAACTAGGGAGGTGAAAGATCTCTACAAGGAGAACTATAAAACACTGATACGGGAAACAATAGATGACACAAATGGAAAAACAGTGATGCTCATGGATTGGAAGAATCAGTATCATTAAAGTGACCATACTGCCCAAAGCAATCCATAGATTCAATGCAATTTCTGTCAAACTACTATCATTCTTTGATAAATAGAAAAAAAATTAAATTTACATGGAAATGAAAAAGGGTCCAAATAGCCATCGCTATCCTAAGCAAAAAGAATAAAGCTACAGGTATCACATTACCTGACATCAAATTATACTACAAAGCTATAGTAACAAAAACACCATGATACTAGTATAAAAATAGACACACAGATAAATGGAACAGAGTAGAGAACCCAGAAATAAAGCCACATATCTAAAACGAAATGATCTTTTACAAAGCCAGCAAAAATATACACTGGGGAAAGGAAACCTAATTCAATAAGTGGTGCTGGGATAACTGCTGAGCCATATGCAGGTAAATAAAACTAGACCTGTATCTCTCACCATATTCAAAAATTAACTCATATGGATTAAATGTTAGACTTGAAGTTATAAAAACCCAAGAAGATCTTTTGCCCATTGTTCTAGGCAAATAATTTAGGACTGAATTTTCAAAAGAAAATGCAACAAAAACAAAAATAGGCAAATGAGACTAAAACTAAAAATCTTCTGCACAGCAGAAAATTATAAAAGAAGTAATCAACTGAGTAAACAGACTATCTACAGAATGGGAGAAAATATTTCCAAACTATGCATCTGAGAAAGTACTAATTCCCAGAATCTACAAGGAACGCAACAACAACAAAAAAAACCATCAAAAAATATTTGCAAACTATGCATCTGAGAAGGTACTAATTCCCAGAATCTACAAGGAACTCAACAAAAAAACACCCATCAAAAAGTAGGCAAAGGACATGAACAGAAATTGTTCAAAAGATGACATAAAAGCAGCCAATACACATATGAAAAATGCTCAGCATTGCTAATCATAAGAGAAATGGATATTAGAACCACAGTGAGATACCATCTTAACCAGAAGGACTATTACTAAAAAGTGAAGAAACAACAGATGCTGACAAGGATGTGGAGAAAAGGGAAAGCTTATACACTGTTGATGGGAATGTAAATGAGTACCACCTGTTTGGAAAACAGTATGGAGATTTCTCAAAGAAGTAGAAATAGAATTAATCTTTGATCTAGCAACCCCACTATTGGAATCTACCCAAAGAGAAATAAATCATCATGTAAAAAAGACACTTGCACTCATTAGTTCATAGCAGCACTATGTACAATAGAAAAATTATAGAATCAACTTGTGTCCATTCATGAATAATTGAAAAAAATTTCGTAAAGTCTTTGCAAATATATGCCTCTGTGAAAGAATTCAGCTACAAATATAGGCCCTGCACAAAGCCTCAGCCCTGTGAAAACACCCAGAAAAGGAAGCAACTGATTGTACTCAAATTGCAATACAGTTAAAAGAACATTAGTTTACACAGATGAGAAAGAACCAGTGCAAGAACTCTGGAAACTCAAAAAGCCAGAGTGTCTTTTATCCTCCAAATGACCACGCTAGTTCTCCAGTAAGGATCTTAAGCAGGTTGAAATGACAGACATAGAATTCAGAATATTGGTAAGGACAAAGATCATTGAGATTCAGGAGAAAGTCAAAATTTAATCCAAGGAATCTAGGATTACAGTAAAATAATACAGGACCTGAAAGACAAAATTGCCATTGTAAGCAAGAGGCAAACTGATCTGATAGGGCGGAAAAATACCCTATAATAATTTTATAATATAATCACAAGTATTAACAGTAGAATAGGCCAGGCGCAGTGGCTCACGCCTGTAATCCCAGCACTTTGGGAGGCCGAGGCGGGTGGATCACGAGGTCAAGGGATCGAGACCATCCTGGCGAACATAGTGAAACCCAGTCTCTACTAAAAATACAAAAATTAGCTGGGCATGGTGGCGTATGCCTGTAATCCCAGCTACTCGGGAGGCTGAGGCAGGAGAATCGCTTGAACCCAGGAGGCGCAGGTTGCAGTGAGCTGAGATTGCGCCACTGCACTCCAGCTTGGCAACAGAGTGAGACTCCATCTCAAAAACAAAGCAAAACAAAAACACAGTAGAATAGATCAAGTTGAGGAAAGAATCTCAGAGCTCAAAGACTAGTTCTCTAGGCTAACTCAGCAGATGAAAATAAAGGAAGAAAAAGAATGAACAAAAATTCTGAGAAATATAGGCTTGTGTAAAGAGACCAAATCTACAACTCTACAACATTAGCATCCTTGAAAAAGAGGGAGAAAAAAGAAGCAACTTGGAAAACATATTTGAGGATATTATCTATGAAAATTTTCCCCAACCTCACTAGCGAGGCCAACTTTAAATTAAAAAATGCAGAGAACTCCTGCAAAATACTATACAAGATGACCATTCCCAAGGCACACGATGATTAGATTTCCAAGACAGGCATGAAAGAAAAAAAAATTGAAGCCAGTTAGAGAGAAGGGGCAGGTCACCTACAAAGGGAAACTCATCAAGCTGATAGTGGATCTTTCAGCACAAGCCCTACAAGCCAGAAGAGATAGGGGGTGTATATTCAGCATATATATATAATTTTGCCTTCAAAATTGTGTTTATTTCACTTTGCGTCTGCTCCGCGCTCTGCCGCCTCCTCCCTGGGGCGGCTTGGGACTCAGTCTCTACCTGACCACGGGCTGGGGGTGGCAGATAGGTTGGGGGACCAGGAACCGAGGAAGGCAGTAAGAGCTGGACAAACAGTCGGAAAATGCATGGTGGCGGACCATGCGCGCCCCTCCCCTGAGCCTGCTCGCCAGGCTTGGAGCTGATACTTCCCGCATCTTACAGCGGACGGCTTAGGCCCCGGCGGGGCTTCGAGCTAGGGAGTCGGTACAGGGAGGGTCTGCGGGGGCGGGGGCCTCACACCCTCCGATCCCAGCTCAGCCCGGGCCGGCGAGTGGGTGGACGCCCGGCTCGCGGCCTAGCGACTGGGCTTCGCGGGAGGTGGACAACCGGGGGCGGGCTGGGGGCGCTTGGCGGCATTGGAAGCTCAGAATCACAAGCTCGGCTATTGGAGAGGGACAGAGCGTGGCTGTCCCCGGGCTGGGGAGGCGCCGTCGGGATGGCTGAGCGGCAGGGTGCCGGCATGCCCGCTCACAGGCGGTCCATTCGGAAGGTGTTCTTGGTGGCTGGGTCCGCCAGAACCACGTCGGGGTCATTGAGCATGTGCAGTCCGTTCAGGGTCTGTCCGTCCAGGGTCAGGGGGTCGATCTTGAGTTCATCCAGGGGAAACTGGCTGTCGGAGTCGAAGCTGAGGTCGCCGACCCTGACCAGAGAGCTGGTCAGTTCTTTAAAGAGGCTGGGGGGCCGGGGGAGACTGTCCTGTCACTATGAGGATGATGTTGGGGATGCCACTGTGGCTGGTGTAGCCCAGCTGCTGCGAGTTCAGCAGGCTCCCGTGGCTGTGGGTGAGGGCTATCATGACCGCCTGCGAGTAGTTGAGCGTGGAGCCCCTGTTGTATAGGGAGCTGATGGCGTTCTCCATCGTGTTGAACTGCTCCAGCTGGTGGGACAGAGCATTGGCCTGCCTGAACGCCATCTGCTGCTCATAGTACGCGTCCCCAAACACGCTGCCCAGAGTGGAAGTGTGTTGCGGGGAGCTCCCTGGGGAGAAGCCTTGATTGGAGACTGGCGAGGTGGGAGACTGGTTGGCCGAGGAGCCGGGGCTAGTGCCGCTACTGCTGCAGAGGCGGCGCCGAGGCGATGTCGATCCCCATCGACGGCAGGCCGGGATTCTTCGTGGGGACTGGAAGAGAGAGGACGGTACCGTGACCGCGAGCGGGGGCGGCTGTGGCCCACGATTCAGGTTGGTGCTGGGCAACAGGGGCTGCCGGGGGGCAGGCGGACGGGCGCCTGTAGGGGCGGTGGGGTTGGCGGCTGCTGAGACCCAGGCTAAGGGGGCGGCGGAGGCTGGGGCTGCGGCAGCGGCTGCTGGGAGTCCGTCTGGGTGAAGAAGGCGTAGGGTACCTGCTGCTCCAGAGACAGGGCATTCAAGGCCACGGCCTGAGTGATGTATGACAGCGGGGACAGAGTGGGCGATGACTGCTGATGCCTCGTCTCTGTGCTCGGGACAGGGGGCTGACGCCGGCTGGACGGTGCTGCGGAGGGGAGCCGAGTGTACTCATCCCCTTGGCCGGCGCCGCTGATGCCCAGGTGCATCAGGTTGGCCGAGACGTTGTCGGTGCTGCTGGAGCTACTGAGTGCGGGGAAGGTGGGCTCCTCGGAGTCGAGCGGGGAAGGGAAGTGGATGTTGGTCAGGCGGTGCAGGGAGCCCACAGTATTGTGAATGGCGGAGATCAGGGCTGTAGTGTTTTCCTGGTCGGCGGACGGGAAGATGTTGATTCGTTGATTCCGCGCAGGACTTGGTCCTGGATCCCGTCTTCTTGGTTTCCCCACGCTTGCTTGGAAAGGTTTTTGTCTGCCTCTGATATGGTCTCTTCCATTCCTGGGACTGTTAACAGTAAGACTTTTTTCTGGTGCACGTCCTGGGACCCACTAGTAAAGGATTCTGGCTGCATGGGCGTCATTGTGCTCTGGCGCAGGGCGAGTCAGAATTGGTCCTTCTCCAGCTGGTGTCCGTGGGTGGCAAGAGGTACACGGTGCCGTATGGGCAGCTGTTGGCCTGCTGTCCGTGTTTGTCCTTTGACAGGTGCAGGCAGTGCGGGGAGCCTAGTCGGCCGCATTCCCGGTACACCCTGTTCACCAGCCCATGGTGCCTGGTAGTCAGGCTGGTGTCCAGGCCCAAGGATTGGAAGGGGGTCTGGAAGGGCAGGTCCACGGTGCCACTCCCGATCTGGTTCACGTTGAGCAGGGACCCGGCATAGTACTGGCCCCGCTTGGGCCCAGTTGCGGATACTGATATTTCTGGAGCTGGAGCCGTGGGGCCGCATCAGGCTTAGACCTTTCATGGCCTCCTCGAGGGCCGCTGTCTCCCCCGCGTGTTTCTCATTGTGCAGTGTGACCTTCTCGCTGAATATAGGTGATGAAAAGAAAAGAAAAATGCCAGCATTGCTATTCTATTTTCAGAAAAAAATACACTTTAGCCCAAAGATTTTAAAAAGACAAAAAGGGCATTACATAATGGTAAAGGAATCCATTTAACAAGAAGACCTAACTATCTTAAATATGTATGCACCCAACACAGCAGCATCCAGATTTGTAGAGGAAGTTTTTAGAGATCTCCGAAGAGACTTAGATAACCATACAATAATAGTGGGAGATTTCAACACTCCACTGACAGTACTATACATATTATTGAGGCAGAAAACTAACAGATAAATAGGACTTGAACTTGACGCTTGACTAAACGGGCCTGACAGGTATCTACTGAACTCTCTACCACAAAACAGCAGAGTATACATTTGTCTCATCTGCACATAATACATACTCTAAAATTGACCAGACAATCAGACCTAAAACCATCCTCAGCAAATTGGAAAAAAACACGATTATACCAAACACACTGTCAGATCACAGCACAATAAAAATAGAAATCTATTCTAAGAAAACACTCAAAACTATACGATCACATGGAAATTAAGCAACATGCTCCTGAATTTTTTTTGGAATAAAAATCCCTGTTTATTGAGTAAACAGTGAAATTAAGGCAGAAATTAAATTTTTTTTTAAATGAATGAAGACGAAGATACAACATAGAAGAATCTGGGACACAGTTAAAGCAGTGTTAAGAAAGTTTCTAGCATTAAATACCACATTAAAAATGAAAAAATATCTCAAATTAACCATCTAAAATCACACTTAGAAGAACTAGAAAACAAAGAGAAAACCAACCCCAAAGATAGAGGAAGAAATAACCAAAATCAGAGCTGAACTGAAGAAAATTGAAATGTGAAAAACCATACAAAAGACCAAAGTATAGAGGAGTTGGTTATTTGGAAGAATAAGTAAGATTGGTAGACTGCTAGCTAGATTAATAAAGCAAAAAAGAGAGAAGATCCAAATGAACACAATCAAAAATGACTAAGGGACATACAAAAACTCAGAGGCTACCACAAACACCACTATGCACTCAAACTAGAAAAGCTACAAGAAGTAAATAAATTCCTGGAAACATAACAACCTTCAAGATTGAACCAGGAAGAAATTGAATCCCTGAACGGACAAATAATGAGTTCCAAGGTTGAATCAGTAATAAAATGCCTACCAAGCAGAAAAATCCAAGGAGCAGATGGATTCATGACCAAATCCTACCAGAGTTATAAAGAAGATCTGCTGCCATTCCTACTGAAAGTATTTCACAACATTGAGGAGGAGGGACTCCTCCCTAACTCATTCTATGAGGCCAGCATTATTGTGATACCAAAAGCTGGAAGAGACACAATAAAAAAGGAAAACTTAAAGCCAATATCCTTCATGACCATTGACAGGAAAATCCTCAACAAAATACTAGCAAACCAAATCCAGCAGCATTTCAAAAAGCTAAAACACCACAATCAAGTTGACTTTAATCCTGAGATGCAAGATTGGTTCAACATATGCTAATCAATAAGTGTGATTCACCACATAAACTGAACTAGAACCAAAAACCACATGTTCATCTTAGTAGATGCAGAAAAACCTTCTGACCAAATTCAGCATTCTGTTATGTTAAAAACCCTCAACAAACTAGGCGTTGAGGTAACATAACTCAAAATAATGAGAGACATCTATGACAGACCCACAGCCAACATCATACTGAAAGGGTGAAAGCTGGAAGCACTCCTCTTGAGAATAAGAACAAGACAAGGATGCCCTTTTTCAACACTTCATTCAACATAGTTTTGGAAGTCCTCGCCAGAGAAATCCGACAAGAGAAAGAGAGAAAAGGCATTCAAATAGAAAGAGAGGAAGTCAAGCTATTTCTCCTCAAGACAATATGATTCTTACCTGGAAAACACTAGTCTCTCCCCAGAGGTTCCTAGGTATGATAAACATGTCGAAACATGTCAGGCAAAGTTTCAGATTACAAAATCAATGTACAAAACCAGTAGCATTTCTATACACCAACAATGTCCAAGTTGAATGCTAACTCAAGAATATAATCCCAGTCACAATAGCCATAGAATAAATGAAATAACTAGGAATACAGATAACCAAGGAGGTGAACTATCTCTACTATGAGAATTACAAAACACTGCTCAAAGAAATCAGAGAGGATACAGAAAAATGAAAAAACACTCCATGTTCATGGATAGGAATAATCAATATTATTAGAATGATCATACTATCCAAAGCCATTTGCAGATTTAATGCTATTCCTATCAAGCTACTAATGACATTCTTTACCACATTAGAAAAAACTATTTTAAAATTCATAAGGAACCAAAAAAATAGCCAAGGCAATCTCAAGCAAAAAGAACAAAGCTGGAGGCATCACATTACCGTACTTCAAACTATACTACAAGTCTACAGTAACCTAAACAGCATGGTATTGGTACAAAAACAGTCACATAGACCAATGGAACAAAGTAGAGATCCCAGAAATAAAGCTGCACACCTACAGCCATCTAATTTTTGACAAAGTTGATGAAAACAAGCAGTAGAAAAAGGACTCCTTAGTCAATAAATAGTGCTGAGATGACTGGCTGGCCAAATGTAGAATATTGAAGCTGGACCCCTTCCTTACACCACACAAACCAACTCAAGATGAATTAAAGACTTAAACAAAAACTAAAAACTATAAAACCCGGGAAGACAACCTAGGTGATACCATTCTTGACATAGGAACAGGTGAAGATTTTATGATGAAGATGCCAAAAGCAATTGCAATGGAAGCAAAAATTGATGAATGGGATCTAATTAGACTAAAGAGCTTCTGCACAGCAGACTAGCAACAAAGTAAACAGGCATCCTACAAAATCAGAAAATGTTTGCACTATACAACTGTGAAAGGTCTAATATCTAGCATCTGTAAGGAACTTAAACAGATTTACAAGAAAAAAAACCTAATTAAAAAGTGAGCAAAGGACATGAACAGACACTTTTCAAAAGAAGACAAATATGTGGCCAACAAGCATATGAAAAAAAGCTCAGTATCACTGATTATTAGAGAAATGTAAATTAAAACCACAATGAGATACCATCTCGCACCAGTCAGAGTGGCTATTATTAAAAACTAAAAAAATAACAGATGTTGGTAAGGTTGTGGAGAAAAGGGAACATTTATATACTGTTGTTGGGATTATAAATCAGTTCAACCATTGTAGAAAGCAGTGCAGCAATTTCTCAAAGAACTAAAAGCAGAACTACCATTCAACCCAGGAATCTCATTATTGGGGATATACCCAAAGGAATATAGATCATTCTATCATAAAGACACATACACATGTATGTTCATTGCAGCACTATTCACAGTAGCAAGGACATGAAATCAACCTAAATGCCCATCAATGATAAGCTGAATAAAGAAAACGTGGTACCTGTAAACCATGAAATACCATGCAGCCATAAAAAATAATAAGATCATGTCCTTTGCAGCAATATGGATGAAGCTGGAGGCCACTATCCTAAGTAACACAGGAACAGAAAACCAAATACTGTATGTTCTCACTTATAAGTGGAAGCTAAACATTGAGAACACATGGACACAAAGAAGGGAGCAACAGACACTGAGGCCTATTTGTGGATAGAGTGTGAAGGTTTGGAGGAGGGAAGGGATCATACACCTACCTATCAGGTACTGTGCTTATTACCCAGGTGATGAAATAATCTGTATGCCAAAGCCCCATGACACACAATATATCTATATAACAAACCTGCACATGTATGTACCCCTGAACCAAAAAGTTAAATAAAATTTGGTATATATACATCATGGCATACTACTCAGACATGAAAAAGCCTGAATTCATGTCTTTTGCAGCAACATGGATGGAACTAGAGGCTATTATTCTTAGTGAAATGACTCAGGAACAGAAAGTTTAAAACTACATGTTCTCATTTTATAAATGGGAGCTAAACGATGGGTACACACAGACACAGAGTGAAATAAAAGACACTGGAGATTCCAACTCATAAGAAGAAGGGAGTGAGGAGAGGGATGAAATACTATCTTTTAGGTACAATGTATACAATTTATGTGATAGGTACACTAAAAGCCCAGATTACACCACTGTGCAATGTGTCTCAGTAACATCACTGCACCGGTACCCCTAAATTCATAAAAATAAACAATTTTTTTTAAAAAAACAGCTCTTCCTAATTTTAATGAAACTTTTTACATGCTCAGGACATAGTGGAATCGATCTTGGTTGTACGAATCACTTACTGGTACCTCATTTATTACTAGATTCACTTGATTCACTAGATAAAACTTGGAAGAACACATTTATAATTTGATTTTTCTCTCCATATGTTAAAATCGATCTATTTTTGGCAAGCTATATCCAGGCATAATTGGTATGGATCAACTAAGCTTGATCCTTAATACAGTAGAAAGGAGGAAGTGTCACATTATTTTGTATGTCTGTCAAGGTACATTATTTACAGCAAATGTTGTAAATATTTGCTTTCATTGAAACAAACACACGGTTACTCTAAGGACAATAACTGTCTCTTCATATTTATATATACTTTATTAATAAATATATATTTTCCCAATTGTATGGTCATGCAGACAAAGCTTCTGGCTAGACATTTTTTTATACTATGAAAATTTAGTTCTGCATGCTGAAAACGAGTATAATTTATCACTCAATGTAATAAAGTAGCTTCTCCTCTGTCCCCTCTCCCTGGCTTCTGAAAAACTTCAAAGTCTGCAGGCTAAGAGGCCATTTCAAGAATTAGGTAAAAATGTATAAGATACTCACTATTTCTCTGAATAATGTTTTGTCACTATTATGTCCATAAACTAAAGCATCTGATTTTATAATAGTGTTTGAAAATCTTATAAAATATCAAGAATAACAGGGATGGCTTTTTTAACTGCTGACACGTTGAGAACTGAGCATTTTGCTAATCGTTATACATAATGACCTTTGCAGTAGGTGCTACTGCAATAGGAGCTGGGTTAGAACTTTCATTTCTCAGTAAGAAGTGAAATCAAAGTAGCAGTATGACTCCAGAGCTCAAACTCTGAATCTTTATGATACAATAATTTTGGCTAAGATTTATAGCGCTATTATTATTTGCTGGTTCTATTCTAAGTGACTTACATGTATTTACTCCTTCAATCATTACAATGACTTTATGAAGGCTCTAGGTAGTATTATCATAACTATTTTATAGATGAGGAAACTAAGGTAAATGAAGTTTGAGCAAGTTGCTCAAAGTCATGATTTAGTAAATTGTGGTTTCAGAATTTAAATCCAGGCAATCTGTCTCTAGAGCCCCCTCAATTAACTAAGCTATATTGCCTAGACTCTTCTAAATTATCTGCAGCTTAATTTAACTAGTTTTATGTTCCAGCAAGAATGTATGTTGTTAATTGACTATCTTCCTGAATATTCTTAAAGACCAGCAGGGCTGGGTTTCATCAAACCCACCTACTGGAATGCAAAAGTATGAGAGAACAAAACTGAGGTAATTCAAGGAATCTTATGTCTTCAAAACTTCAGAGCAATGAGCAGTTCATGGGGGCCATTGACATTGGTCCCATGAAACTCCACCAGTGAAATGATTTCGTTGAACCTCAGTTAGCACTTGAATGCCTCTTTCTCAGTTCTGGGCCAAGTTGATTATCAGGAGCAATTATTCCTAACATTAGGTGAAAACTTTTTGACATGTTGGCTTAGCCGTGGGAGTAACCCTAGTATTGTCTTATGTTGACGTTTTTGTGATCATAAGCATAGCCTGCATAGATTCTCTTAACCAACAAATCTTCCAAATACATATTAAATCTCTCTTTCTGTGCTCTGACATACAACATTAAAAAAATACATATATCTCTCCCTTGGGGTACTCAACTCTTTCTTCAAGTGTCCCCTCTAGGGAGCTGTGTAACTCTCAGGGCTTGCCCTTTACTACTTCCTAATTGTTCAGCAGTTTTATTTGTGTGATTTCACTATGTTCTTTTTCTAAGGACTCATATGCACTTTCATATTCCTGAAGGCTAGTACAAATCCTAAAAGATAAAACACACATAAAACACAAGATAGTTGGGCTGGGCGCAGTGGCTCATGCCTGTAATCCCAGCACTTTGGGTGGCTGAGGCGGGTGGATCATGAGGTCAGGAGATCGAGACCATCCTGGCTAACCTGGTGAAACCCCGTCTTTACTAAAAATACAAAAAATTAGCCGAGCGTGGTGGCGGGTGCCTGTAGTCCCAGCTACTTGGGAGGCTGAGGCACGAGAATGGTGTGAACCTGGGAGGTGGAGCTTGCAGTGATCCAAGATTGCACCACTGCACTCCAGCGTGGGTGACAGAGCGAGACTCTGTCTCAAAAAAAAAGATAGTTGATCAAGAAACTTGCCTTTCCTGAATGTTTTTTAATCAGATCTTCTGTTTTCATTTTATGTTTCAAACAAATGATTTTATTTCCTACATATCTTGGAGGGTAGCAATTCCCTTTACTATTAAAGGCATTTCTGAAGCATTTCTGCATAATTCATACTAAATGTAGTGCACAGAAGCTGGCATTATTGGGGTATGCATATTAATTATTTATATGCAAATTAAGGATCATGGGACCCAGCACTGTTGGAATATATAACTCTTGCTGCTGTTTCTAAAGTAGTGCTTTATTGTATCCTGTGTTACTCTTTTGTTAGATCACATTTTCCCATTCACCCAAACAAATGTCGGATAATATTAAGATCTTCACTTTTGCATTAGCTAAAAGCAATTATGAATGTGAGAAGATGGAAGTTGTTAATATAAAACGATTACACTTTATGGCTCATCTTTTTCAGTCCCCAGTAGCAGAAATACATGCCTTTTGGCTGCTTTTTCTTCCTGAGCCATATATTTTAAAGATTTCACCTTGAAGTCTATTTTTCTCATACTTGAGCATTTTCTGTTTATACCCATTGATTTTCCCCTGGAGCAGTATTTAAAGAAATGTAATTTCAAACTAAAGATGAAATAAGTTTCACTTGATTCTGACCTCCAGCCCAACAACCCTCATTGCCACAGTGTGACTCTTTCACTGATGAAGATAAAGGGAATTAAGATAAAGGCAGAGGGGTAATCATTAATTAAAAGCAGTGATCTCAAGATATATTATATTCTAACTATCAAAAGAATTATCTAAAATAGATTTAGAGGTGAAGCTCTACTTGAACTTTGGAATTGACACAATGTCTCATTCTTAACGGGTCACCCATGATCGCTAATCCCCGAGACAGTGGGGATGTTATCAGGAGGTACTTTAGCCCAGTAGCTCCTGGAATGCTTACATGACTATTATCAAATTGAAGTCAAGAGTGATAAGAAAAAAAATGATAAAAATAATAGTTGTGAATTTTCTGTTTCAAGATATGTCCTTATAAAAATGCTACCAATCATCCTAGGCTAATAGCTGGGTTTGTATTTTACCTCTGACTGAACCTATATGGAATTGCAAATTGAAGAAAGTTGGTCTTTGGCAGAAATATTGCTGTCATTCTAGTTAATGTAGTGTTTTTCCCTCCTTTAGATGCATTTTCCAACTCCCAAGCCCCCAGCCACTTCTGTTTTCTTTCATCATCATTCTCCTATCAAAACTTGCACTCCAAAAAGACCTACCCTTAGACATTTCCAGTAAAAGTCAGATTGAAATGTACTTCATCTCCCAGACCATCTTCACTGAAACAAAAGGTAGTGCCTTAAAACTGGGAAAATATCTGAGTTTCTAGAATTTCAAGAAGCAGCAGGCATATGAGAGACATATGCTATAGTCAGCACCTACCTGGCTTCTTCCCATGGGCTAGATAATCACCCATTTATAAGGCAATGTATGTTAAGGAAAAAAAATTACTCCTGTTAATAAGATACGAAGATTGATTAAGACATGTATCTCTGGATTCTTAATAGCCTAAATTTGAAAAAAATTTCACATTAAATATATACCATTTAATTTGGAAATTAAAAATATTACATTAAAAAGGGCAAAAAGAAAGTAAATTTTTTAAAAAATAGAATTTAAGCACAAGAGATTATCCCATCTTGTCTCTTAACTAGTACTTCATCTAACACTGGAAGTGTGTTCTCACCTGAGATGCCATCTCCTTTTTTCATTTAGAATTAGTACCTAGTACTTTA
Organism: Homo sapiens; assembly: GCF_000001405.40. NCBI lineage: Eukaryota > Metazoa > Chordata > Mammalia > Primates > Hominidae > Homo > Homo sapiens. The sequence goes on along the minus strand of NC_000002.12, from coordinate 52,562,443 downwards.
TCACTTGAGAGTTATGTTCCTTTAACCTTCCTTAAACTTACCTTGTTGAGCACATCCTGTAGAAAGAACCTCATCACAACTTCAGCAAGCAACTTGAGCATATGGCCCCTTAACAACGACAGCAGCAACAACAACAAAACGAGTTGAAAAAAGCAATTGAAAACCAGAGATAAACTGAACACTATCTAGAAGACTTTCCCTCTCATTCCTGTTCTTGATTGTCCCATCAGTATTGTCTTTTTGGGATTAAGAATGTATAATCTGGAATTTCTGGGCTGATTCTGGTTTCCAGTTACCATCCCCCCATCATAGCCATTATTTAGGAGCCTTGATGTAAATTTTCTAATTTCAATGTCATACTTGCCTGATTAGAAGCTCCTTGTCTCCTTTTTTATGATGCCTCTGTTTTCAAGCTATTCATATTTATATTCTTAGCAGATTCATATTTCTCCACAACTCTCCAGAATTGGCCTACTGTTACTTAAGTCAGACAAATCTCCCTATAAAGTCCCAGAGTTTTTCTAGGTTTTCAAATATTTTGTTTTCACTTACATTTTCCCTTTTTTCTTCTATTTCCTTTAGATTCTTACCCATTCTGCAAAAAGGATTATACCCATATAATTTTCACTGTTTATCTGGGCTGTCACAGAACCCACAATCTAACTATTTTATTTTATTTATTTATTTTTTGAGACAGAGTCTCGCTCTGTCGCCCAGGCTGGAGTGCAGTGGGGCGATCTCTGCTCACTGCAAGCTCCGCCTCCCGGATTCACGCCATTCTCCTGCCTCAGCCTCCCGAGTAGCTGGGACTACAGGCTCCAGCCACCACGCCCGGCTAATTTTTTGTATTTTTAGTAGAGACAGGGTTTCACCGTGTTAGCCAGGATGGTCTTGATCTCCTGACCTCGTGATCCACCCACCTCGGCCTCCCAAAGTGCTGGGATTACAGGCCTGAGCCACCACGCCTGGCCCTCACTCTTTATTTTATACTGCCTTGAATTATAAATTGTTTCATGTGTTTAAGTCTTATTTCCCCTATTACGCTGTCAGTTAAAGCCAGTTTTAAAACCACTAATTACGTGGTTTTCTCAACTCCAAAGAGTGCAATGCACAAGTTAGGTTACTTTTATTTATTAGTAAAAGCTTAATTACCTAGGAATATATTTAACCAAGGAGGTGAAAGATCTCTACAAGGAGAACTACACAACACTGCTGAAAGAAATCATAGATGAAACAAATAAATGGAAATACATTCCATGCTCATGTATTGGAAGAACCAATATTGTGAAAATGACCATACTGCCAAAAACAATCTATATATTCAGTGCAATTCCCATCAAAATACCAACATTGTTTTTTAACAGAATTAGCAAAAAAAAATCTTAAAATTCATATGGAACCAAAAAAGAGCATGAATAGCCCAAGGAATTCTAAGCAAAAAGAACAAATCTGGAGGTATCACATTAGCTGACTTCAAATTATACTACAAGGCTATAGTTACCAAAAGAGCATGGCACTGGTATAAAAGTAGTCACATAGACCAGTGCAACAGAATAAAGAACCCAGAAATAAAGCCACATATGTATAACCAACTGATCTTCAACAAAGCATACAAAACGCATATTGGAAATGGACACCGTATTTAATGGTGCTGGGAAAACTGGCAAGCCACATGTAGAAGGATGAAACAGAATCCCTCTCTCTCACAGTATACTAAGACCCCCAAAGCAAATGCAACAAAAACAGAAATAAATAAATGGGACCTAATTAAGCTAAAATGCTCTGCACAGCAAAAGAAATAATCAGCAGAGTAAACAGACCATCCACAGAGTGGGAGAAAATATTTGCAAACTATGCATCTGACAAAGGACTAGTGTCCAGAATATACAAGGGATTCAAACAAATCAACAAGAAAAAAATCCCTTTAAAAAGTGGAGAAAGGACATGAATAGACAGTTCTTAAAAGTTGATAAACAAATGGCAAACATGAAAAAATGCTCAATATCAGTAATCAACAGGGAAGTGCAAATTAAAACCACAATGAAATAATATCTTATTCCTACAAGAATGGTCATTATTAAGTCAAAAGATGATAGATGTTGGCATGGATGTGGAGAAAAGGTAATGGTTATACACTGCTTGTGGGAATGTAAATTAATGTAAATTAGTACAGCCTCCATGGTAAACAGTATGGCTATTCCTTAAAAAGCTAAAAGAAGATCTATCATTTGATCCATCAGTCCCACTACTGGGTATCTACCCAAAGAAAAATATGTCATTATGTGAAAAAGACATTCACACACATATGTTTATAGTAGTACAAGTCACAGTGAAAAGATGTCGAACCAGCTTAAGTGCCCATTGACTAATGAGTGAATAATAAAAATGTGATATATATATATATATATATATATACATACACACAGACACACACACACACACACACACACTCTGTGGAATACTACTCAGCCATTAAAAGGAATAAAATAATGTCTTTTGCAGCAATTTGGATGGAGCTGGAGGCCATTGTTCTAAGTGAAGTAACACAGGAATGGAAAACCCAAAACCATATATTCTCACTTACGAGTGGGAGCTAAGCTGTGAGTATGCAAAGGCATACAGGTGATATGATGGACCTTAGAGACTCAGAAAGGGGAGGGTAGGAGAAGGGCCATGAATAAAAAAACTACACATTAGGTACGATGTATACTACCTGGGTAATTGGTGCACTAAAATCTAATAATTCACCACTATATAATTCATCCATACAACAAAAACCACTTGTACCCCAAAAACCATTGAAAAAATATTTAAATGCACACAGAGACAGAGAAAGAGAGAGTGAAATGGATATGTGATTCTCAGTTCTAATACTGGATAACAGTGTTTAAACTTTTAGCTCCTAGAAAGAAGTGAAAAGAAATAAAAATGAAGGAGCAGAAGAAATATAGCATCTTCTCATAAAGTGTTAGAGTTCAATTTGTTTTAATTCAACAAATATGCATTTAAATAACTGTACTATAGATGTTATGCTATTCGGACTATGTGGAGGTGACTGAGATTAGTAAGTCTTAACTTTTAAGTAGAATAAAACCTGGGGGAAAAGGGAGCTTAAGTTGAGGCAGAATAATATTGATTTTATAACAAGCAAAATTGGAGATGATACAAATACAGGAGAAAGAGAAAATAATTCAAGATGGGCAGATGAGTGACTTTCACCAAGTGTTAGATATGATTTTACTTTGAAGTGCGAACAGAATAATAATGCATGTGAAGAAATACTCTTCCAAAGGGAAAAAGACCTTCAGGTGAAGGTGAAAGAAATAAAATAAGTAAAAATTAAGAGATGGAAAGTGGTTTGGGTTTAGTCAGTTTGGCAAAGTGACTGAAGAATGACACCAATGGGTGGGAGACAAAAGCTAAGGAATAGAAGGGAATGTGGTAATTTCCACTTAACTTGGAAGGTTGAATATGTGTCTTTACCTATATTGTTTCTCAAAACCCACTACACTGAAACTAGATAAATTAAAAAATTCTAAACTCACAAAAACAAAATAAATGGAGGAAGAGAGAGCAATTGAGAACTTTTGAAAAATGCAGAGTAGATGGATAAATAAAATCAGAATTGGCAGAGTGCAAGTCTTAGGGAAAAAGAAACAAGCTAACTAATGCTATGGAGAGAATTGGAGGCACTAAGTACCTTGAAGAGAGCAACTTAACACTAGAGTCCTGGATTAAATTTTATAAGAAGCGGTAAGACACCCCAGATACCCTCACAAAACCCTCTCTTTCCTGAGGTGGAGGGGACCCTGGGGATTTTACCTCCTGGAGCTATCCAAGAAAGGATGCTCCACATTCACGAATGCCAGACAATAGAGGGAACAAGCGCACAGTTAATAAGGGGATTGTCTAAAGATCCCAGTTAAACTGTGACTAACCTAATTTGAACATTTGTCCTCTCTAAATCTCCTGTTTGAAAGTAGAGCTGCAAAACTGAAGGTGGAGCCTGATGAAAGGTATTTGGGTCATGGGGCTAGATCCCTCATGCACGGCTTGATGCCATTTTGGTGGTAATGAGCCTTTTCACTCTATTAGTTTCTGTAAGATCTGATTGTTAAAAAGAGTTTGGCACTACCCTCTGTCCTCTCTTGTTTCTCTTTCACCATATTATCTGCACACACTGGCTCCCTTTCCCCTTCTGCCATGCATAGAAGCTTCTTGAAGCCCTCAAAAGAGGCAGATGCTGCCTCTATGCTTCTTGAACAGCTTGCAGAACCCTAAGCCAAATACACTCCTTTTATTTATAAATTACCAAGTCTCAGGTACTTCTTTATAGCAATGCAAATGGCCTAACACAGTGACCTTCCCCAGTTTAGCTCCCAGATTACTGGCATTCTGCCACTCAGCATCTGGAAGAGAAGTAAAAGATTCCTCTTTGAATTAACTTACCATAAAAGAACAATGATATGTAGAGATTCTCCAATGAAATAGTAATTTATTTGCCCAGTGATTCTCAGTGAAATTATCTGCAAAGAAAGCTTCCAGTAATTTCCTCAGTACCTTAATTTCTTAAGAATAAATTAAAAGGCAAAGAGAACTTGAGATTTTGAGGGAAGTCTCCAGCATAAAAGTCTGATACCAGTAAACAAATTGGTAAAACAAAGAAATAATTGCTTCAGAAGCAATATAGAAAGCAGAATAAAACATCAAAGTAAGTTATTCCTATACATACACATTTGTATATAGATTGTTATATTTAAAAGAATTAAGAAATAGGGTAATTTTCTGGTCTCCTCTAGCCATAATTGTCTGAACTACAACAACAGCAATGCTCAAATAATATCTTTGTTAGCTTATCAAGTAAATGAGAGGTAAATTACTTCTCTTTCATTTTGGTTAAATTAGGCCTGCTATGTACTTTCTTGTATAACTAGACATCAAGCAGTTGTTAAGGGTCTCATTTAATTCTGCTAAGAGCTTCCTTCTAAAGCAAAACTCTAGTATAATTGTAAACAATATCCTGAGTCCTTTGAAGCAGCTTCTCTTGTTTTCTTTTTCTTGTTAAGAAAAAGAAGTCCTCTGTGTTTTTGACAGTGCCGTCTTTACTCAGATCGCTTTATTTTATTTTATTTTTTATTATTATTTATTTTTGAGACGGAGTCTAGCTGTTTTGCTCAGGCTGGAGTGCAGTGGCACCATCTCGGCTTACTGCAAGGTCCACCTCCCGGGTTCACACCATTCTCCTGCTTCAGCCTCCCGAGTAGCTGGGACTACAGGCGCCCGCCACCACGCCTGGCTAATTTTTTGTATTTTTAGTAGAGACGGGTTTCACAGCGTTAGCCAGGACGGTCTTGATCTCCTGACCTCGTGATCTGCGAGCCTCAGCCTCCCAAAGTGCTGGAATTACAGGCTTGAGCCACCGTGCCCGGCCTACCTCAGACCTCTTTAACTTCACTTTCTCAATTTTCTGTTTAATAATTCTTCACAACCTGATTTTTGATGGAATATTTTAGAACAAATAACAGTTTAAATACTGTTAAGTTGTATATGTGTTCACAATGTCACAAAGCTTGCCTGTTAGAAACTTCATGAGTGACATACATAGTACAGATCTCATTGTCTGATCCTTTCCCCAGGTTTCTGGATAATTTAGAAACAAGCCTGAATTAACCAATGATTCTCAGTGATTCTGCCGATTTTAAATATGTAAGCCTCAGCTATTATAATTTTATAACTAAATTTTGTCACATCTAGCTCATTGACAGTGAATTCATCTTAATAGGCACTTGGTTGAATTATCTTTAATCAAACTGTATTTGTTTTTGTGATTTCATTTAATCAAAGAGTAAAAGAATAATTTAATGTTTAGATTAAATTCTTCCATGATAAATGGTTATGCTGTTCAAATATGAAGTTGCTGGCCAACTGTCATGGCTGCTGGGTGTTCATAGAAGTATATATCATCTGTCTGAAGAGTCTGGGCTTTGTGTTCTGCTATGTTTTATAGCACTCAATCACCATGGGGCTTAGTAATCAGAATTTGGTGTTTATGGCCAAAACTTGAACAGCTACCTCATCAGAAAGAATGATAGTACTTCACCTTGAATCTAACATACAGTCATTAATTACAAAGCAGATGTATTTTTAAAAACAATGGAAGAAGTAAGGAAAATAATTTTTATCATATTTAAAGCCTGAAGTTAATGTCTAATTCTCATCACAGTATCAGTTTTTACACGATTTCTCTTCTGAAGTTTTGGATTTTATGGTCAATTAAAATTAACAGTTTAAAATTACATCCAAAATATCCAAAGCATGAGTTGCTCTACAATAATTTGTGTTGTCTGTAGTTTCCATTTTGCTATCTTGCCTTTCCCTTGACATTTTGTAGATTTTGCATTATTTTTAACTTTTTTCCAGGAAGCAACACTAAAGAAAAACACTGCTGGTGTCAAAATTCCAGCTGAGTTTTATTCACTTTGATTTACCCCATAACTAGACTCAGTGTCTACAAGCAATGTGAACTAGCGAGTTGAACAGTTAGCTACTGAATATTGTCCCTGAAGCTACTTTTCTCCCAGTTGTTTCTTAGTGTTATGATTATCAGAACAATTACTTCTTCTTTTATAGCGTATATGTAGCAATATCTCAATCCCTGTGGCACAAATATTTAATACAGTGATCTTGGGGTGGTAGAATTTTATTGCTGAAAAAGTATAGCTTCTGATCATGTTCCTAAAATAAAGGCATAAGTTATCTATATAACATCTTGCGTGAAAGCTACAACAGAGGAAGCTTACATTTTATAACAGGACTTCTCAGGTTTTCTTTTGGAATATATTTTTAGTAGATGAGAAAAAAAATTTTGAATTTGTGTTGTGATTACCATGTGGAAACAGGATAGACTCTCCGCATGCAAAGTTTGGGTCAGATTTCAATACTGGTCATGCCATACATGCACCAAGAAGATATGAAAAGGTTTAGTACTCAGAAAATGAACGTTTTTCAGAGAATAGAGTGGCTCTTAATGGACACAGAATGGCTTGAAAGAGCAGATAACGGAGACTGGCTTGGGGTTTTTATGATGGTAAAGGTAGGTGGACTGGGGCAAGGTTTGTCTTAGCAGGATTTATGTGGTTTAAATTTCTTACCAGTGCCAACAGAAGGAGCACTGGGCTTTCTTACCAATTCGCCCAAGTTTAAGGCAATAAGGGAAGAGGGATGGTTATAGCTTAAAAGCTTCAGCCGTCAAATTGGAGGCAGACTATTTTAATTCGCTTATATCATTCTGTTCTTTATGAATATTTGGTCTTAACTTACTGATTATACTTGGCAAAGTTTCTAGAACTCTTATTAGTTGTTGACTAGAAGTGACTTGTTTGTAAGGTAGGGTGTTAACATGGCTTAGGGACTAGAAATAAATGCTGTGCAAGTTGTTATCTATAATGATGCTTATTTGCCTGTTTTAATTTATTTTCTTTTTATACTTTAGGGTGTTTCTTTATTACCTATGTTGATATAGAGCAGTGTTTTCCAGACTTTAGGCATGACTAAAAATCACCTGGAAACCTTGTTAAAACAGAGAATACTACATCCCATTCCCAGAATTTTTGATTTAGTAGGTCTGAGGTAGGTCCCCAGAATTTGCATTTTAAACAAGCTCCCTTGATGATGCTGATATTGCTGGTCCAGGGACTATATATTGGGAATGTCTAATTTACAGTTTTTGAATTTTAATAATTTTTCTCAGTATATTGTCTCTTTGAGGGTGCTCAGCTACTTGGATATTATTGAATAATGAGTTTTGGTGTTTATATTAAAAGACAAAAATATTTTAATGAGAGTTCCAGCTACAGAGTTATTTTATTATTTTCTAGTATAGATGTAGCCTACACGAGTATAGACTACTAATTATTGCTATTTTATTTTAATTTATTGCCACTAAAATAATTACAGCTTGATAAATTTGTGACATTGGGTAAATATTCATAAAAATGTATGTGACCTGTGACATTTTCTCTGGAGGGCATGCAGAAGACTGAGTAGGTAAGTTGAACTAGTAGCTCTTAACGTATAGTGGCACTGGGTAAGTTCCATTTTAATTGTAATTATTGTCTTCCTTCTTACCACTTTTGAATTTGGTCTTTAATTTTACTACTAAAATATTGGACACAGTGAGGCAATGTGATAGAATAGAAAGAGCATATCACTAAGTAAAGATAGATTTTAGACAAATTTTGCCACTAATTAAAGTGTGATTGTGGGCAAATTATACATGCTATCTGAAACAGCTGGCAAACATTCCTGAAGAGGCCAGAGAGTAAACAAATATTTTAGGCTTTGTGGATTATATGGTCTTTATTGAAACTACTTAACATTACCACTGTAGAACAAAAGTCCTAGAAAATGTGCAAATAAGTAGACAAGGCTGTGTTTAAAAAAGTGTTATTTGTAAAAACATAGGCGGCTAGATTCAGCCCATGAGCTATAGTTTTACAAACTCTGATTTAAGTATAGGTTTTTTCACTTGTGAAAGGAATAAATTGAACTAAATAGTGCTTAGTTCCTCTCTAGAAGCAAAAATCTTGTGATTCTGTGACTTGATGAAACTTGCTCATTGCTTATTTCATTTTATTTTAAAATTTTTAAAAATTTTATTAAATTTTGCGAGTATATATTAGGTGTATATATTATGGGCTAAATGAGATGTTTTGATACAGTCATGCAATGTGTAACAGTCACGTCATGGAAAATCAGATATCAATTCCCTCAAACAGTTATTGTTTTACAAATAATGGAATTGTACTCTTTTAGTTATTTTAAGACATACAATTAAATTATGATTGACTGTAGTCACCCTGTTGTGCTATAAATTAGTAGGTCTTTTTATTCTATTTTTTTGGAATACATGAACAATCCCCACCTCTTCCCCACTCCCTCACTACCCTTCCTAGCCTCTGGGAACTATCCTACTCCCTATGTTTATGAGTGCAATTGTTTTGATTTCTAGATCCCACAAATAAGGGAGAACGTGTAATTTTTGTCTTTCTGTGTCTGGCTTATTTCACTTAACATAATGATCTCTAGTTCCATCCATGTTGTTGCAAATGACAGGATTTCATTCTTTTTCATGGCTGAATAGTATTCCATTGCATGTATGTACTACATTTTCTTTATTCATTCATCTGTTGATGGACACTTAGGTTGCTTCCAAATCTTAAATATTGTGAACAGTGCAGCAATAACATGAGAGTGCAGATATTGCTTCAATATAGTGATTTCCTTTCTTTTAGCTATATATCCAGCAGTAGGATTGCTGGGTTATATGGTAGCTCAATTTTTAGTATTTTGAGGAACCTGCAGACTGTTCTCCATAGTGGTTGTACTAATTTACATTACCACCAACAGTGTACAAACATTTCCTTTTCTCCACATTTTCACCAGCATTTGTTATTGCCTGTCTTTTGGATATAAGCCATTTTAACTGGGGCTAGATGATATCTCATTGCAGTTTTGATTTACATTTCTCTGATTATCATTCATGTTGAGTACTTTTTCATATGCCTGTTGCCATTTGTATATCTTCTTTTGAGGAATGTCTCTTCAAATCTTTTACCCATTTCTTGATTGTATTATTAGATTATCTTCCCATAGATTTGTTTGAGCTCTTTACATATTATGGTTATCAATCTCTTGTTAGAAGGATAGTTTGCAAATATGCCTTCCATTATGTGGGCTGTCTCTTCACTTTGCTAATTGTTTACTTCAGTTTGCAGAAGCATTTTAACAGTCATGATGTAATTTGTTCATTTTTGCTTTTGCTGCCTGTGCTTATGGGGTATTGCTCAATAAATTTTTGCACAGATGAATGCCTAGATATTTTCCCCAATTTTTTGTAGTAGTTTTGTAGTTTGAGGTCTTAGGTTTAAGTCTTTCATCCATTCAAATTTGATTTTTTTTTTGTATGGTGAGAGATAGGCGTCCAGGTTCATTCTTCTGCATATGGATATCCAGTTTTTCCAAAACCATTTATTGAGTCTTTTTATTACAGCTTCAGTCTTGACTTGTTGTCTTTTCAGATTTTGGATTTTTTTATGGTTTGGTTTTGGTAGGTTATATGGGTGTATAGAAATTTGTCCATTTTTTTTCTAAAACTTCCAATTTATTGGCTTATAGTTGCTCCCAGTAGCCATAATAATTCTTTGAATTCCTGCTGTATCAATTGTAATGTCTCCTTTTGAATTTCTGATTTTTTTTTTTTTTTTTTTGGTCTTCTCTCTTTTTTCCCTTAGTTTGTCTGGCTGAAGCTTTGTCAATTTTTGTTTAACATTTCAAAAGAACATCATTTTTATTGATCTTTTGTATTGTTTTGTTCATTTCAATTAATATTTCTTTCTTCTCTGATATTTATTATTTCTTTTCTTCTAGTTTTGGGTTTGGTTTGCTCTTGCTTTTCTACTTCTTTAAGATGCACTGTTAGATTATTTGAAGTTGTTTCTCCTTTTTTATGTAGGCACTTACAGCTATAAACTTCCCTCTTAATACTGCTTTTGCTGTATCTCATAGGGTTTAATATATTTTGTTTCCATTATCATTTGTTTCACAAGATGTTTTAATTTCCTTGTTAATTTCTTTGTTGACTCAGTGGTCATTCAGGATTATGTAGTTTAATTCCAAGTATTTGTATAGTTTCCAAAATTCCTCTTATTATTAATTTCTAGTTCTATTTCATGTGGTCAGAGAAGATGCTTCATAATATTTCAATACTTTTGAATGTTTAAGACTTGTTTTATAACCTAACATATGATTTAATCTTGAGAATAATCCATGTGCTGAAGAAAAGAATGTGTATTCTGCAACCATTAGAGGGTATGTTCTGTAAATATCTATTAGGTCCATTTGGACTATAGTTATTAAATCTGATGTTTCTTTGTTGATTTTCCATCTGGAAGATCTGTCCATTTATGAAAGTGGGTTGTTGAAGTTTCCAACTATTATTGTATTGGAATCTATGTCTCTTTTTGGCTGTTCAGTGTTTGGTGCATATATACTTAAAATTGTTATATCTCCTTCCTGAATTGACTCTTTTATCACTATATAATGTTGTCCTTTGTCCTTTATTATAGTTTTTGTCTTGAAATCTATTTTTTCTGCTATAAGTATAGTGACTCCTGCTCTTTTTTGGTTTCCATTGGCATGGAATATCTTTTTCTATCCCTTTATTTTCGGTCTATGTGTGTCTTTATAGGTTAAGTGTTTTTCTTATAGGCAACAGATAAATGGGTTTGAATTTTCATTCATTCAGCCAGTCTATGTCTTTTGATTAGAGAATATAGTCCTTTTACACTCAATGTTATTGATAAGTAAGGACTTCTGCCATTTTTTATTTGTTTTCTGGTTATTTTCTGGTCTTCTCTTCATTCTTTTTTTCCTTCCTCTGTTCTTTCTTTGTGTAGGTAATTCTCTCTGGTGAAATGATTTAGTTTCTTGCTTTTTATTTTTATTTTTTGTAGCAGTTGTATTTTTTTTTGGTTTGTTACTGTGAGGCTTGCACATACTATCTCATAAGTCATTATTTTAAGCTGATAACAACTTAACACTGTTTGCGTAAACAATCAAAAATAAAACAAAAACTACACCTTAATTCATTCTCCATCTTGTAAACTTTTTCTTGTTTCTATTTATATCATATGGTACTGTCTACGTCTTGATAAGTTGTGGCAGTTATTATTTTTGATTGGTTCATCATTTAGCATTTCTATGTAGTATAGAGTATACACACCACAGTAACAATGTCATAGTATTCTGTGCTTTTCTGTGTACTTACTATAACCAATGAGTTTTGTACCTTTGGATGTTTACTTATTGTTCATTAATGTCCTTTTCTTCAACTGAAGTACTATCTTTATTATTTTTTCTAAGACAGGCCTGATGTTCATGAAACCCCTCAGCTTTTTCTTGTCCAGAAAAATCTTGATTTCTTTTCATATTTGAAGGATATTTTCACCAGCTATACTATTCTAGGGTAAAAGTTGTTGTTGTTTTTTTCCTTCAGTACTTTAAATATGTCATACCACTTGCTCCTTTTCTGTAAGGTTTCTGCTGAAAAGTCTGCTGCCAGATGCACTGGAGCTCCATTGTTTGTTATTTGTTTCTTTTCTCTTGCTGTTTTTAGGATTCTTTTTTATCCTTGACCTTTGGGAGTATGATTATTAAATACCTTGAGTTAGTCTTCTTTGTGTTAAATCTGCTTGATGTTCTTTAACCTCCTTGTACTTGGATATTGATATATTTCTGTAGGTTTGGGAAGTTCTCTGTTAATATCCCTTTAAATAAACTTTCTACCCCTATTTCTTTCTCTACCTCCTCTTTAAGGCTAATAACTCTTAGATTTTCCCTTTCAAGATTATTTTCTAGATCCTATAGGTGTGGTTCACTTTTTTTAATTCTTTTTTTTCTTTTGCCTCCTCTGACTGTGCATTTTCAAATAGCTTGTCTTCAAACTCACTAGTTCTTTCTTCTTCTTGACGAATTCTGTTAGAGTCTGATGCATTCCTCATTATGCCTAATGTATTTTTTCAGCTCCAGAATTCCTGCTTGATTCTTTTTCATTGTATCAATCTTTTTTGTGAAATTTATCTGATAGAATTCTGAATCCATTTTCTGTGTTATCTTGAATTTCTTTGAGTTTCCTCGAAATAGCTATTTTGAATTATCTGCCTGAAAGGTCACATATCTCTGTTTCTCCAGAATTGGTCCCTGGTGCCTTATTTAGTTCTTTGGTGAAGTAATGATTTCCTGGATTGTCTTGATACTTCTAGATGTTCATCTGTGTCTGCTCATTGAAGAGTTAAGTATTTATGGTAGTCTTTGTAGACTGGGCTTGTTTGCAGCCATACTTCCTGGAAAGGCTTTCCATATATTCAAAAAGACTTGGGTATTGTGATTTAAACTGTATCTGCTTTAGGGAGCACCCCAAGCCCAGTAAGACCGTGGTTCTTGCAGACTCAGAGTGGTACCATCTTGATGGTCTTGGACAAGATCTGGGAGAATTCTCTGGACTACCAGGCAGAGACTCTGATTCTCTTCTTTTACTTCTCCCAAACAAATATCTCTGTTCTGAGCCATTTGAAGCTGGGTGTGGAGTAACACAAGCACTACTGAGGCCACCACCAGTATAACGGCACTGAGTCAGATCTGAAACCAGCATAGCACTGAGTCTCACCCAGGACCTGCTGTAATCACTCCCTTGCTACTGCCTGTGTTTGCTCAAGGGCCTAGGGCTCTACAGTCAAGCAGGTAGCGAGGCCAGCCAGGCCTGTGTCTTTCTCTTTGGAGTGGTGACTTTCTCCAGAACCCAGGCAAGTCTGGAGGTGCCATCCAGGAGCTAGATTAAAAACCTTAGAAGTCTACATGGTATTCTATTGTACTGCAGCTGAGCTGGCACTCTAAGCACTAGATGCAGTTCTTCCTACTCTTTCCTTCCCATTTCAAAGGCAGAAGAGTCTCCCTCTATGGCCACCACCACCACAAGCCCATGGGGAGTACTGCCAGATTACTGCCCAGTGCCAAGTTTCTCTTAAAGCCCAGGTCTCTTCAGTCACTTTGGGGTAAATGCTGCCTGGCCTGGACTCACCCTTCAGAGCAGTGTGTTGTCCTCTGGCCCAGGGCAGGTCCAGAAATGCTTTCAAAGAATCACCTTCACTAGAGGAAGACAAGAATGAAAGAAAGAGGGAATAGATGATTACAAAACAACCAGAAAACAAATAACATAATGTCAAGAGTAAGTCCTTAATTATCAGTAATAATATTGAGTAGACTAAACTCAAATTAAAAGTTATAGACTGGCTGAATGGATGAAAAAACAAGACCCATTGATCTGCTGCCTACAAGAAATACATTTCACCTATAAAGAATCACACAGATTGAAAATAAATGGATGAGAAAAGATATTCCATGCCAATGGCAACCAAAAAACAGAATTCAATATACTTATACAAGACAAAATACATTTCAAGACAAAAACTATAAGAATAGGCAAGGAAAGTCACTATATAATGCTAAAGGGATCAATTCAGCAAGAGAATGTAATCATTTAAAATATATGCACACCCAACACTGGAACACTGAGATAAATAAAGGAAATATTATTAGAGCTAAAGACAGAAAGAGGCCCTGATACAATAATAGCCAGAGACTTCAACACCCAAAATTCAGAATTGGACACATTTTCCAGACAGAAAATCAACAGAGAAACATCAGACTTAATTTGCACTATTGGCCAGGTGTGGTGGCTCACACCTGTAATCCCAGCACTTTGGGAGGTTGAGGTGGGTGGATCACATGAGGCCAGGAGTTCAAGAGCAACTTGGCCAACGTGGTAAAAGCTCGTCTCTACTAAAAAAAAAAAAAAGGTATCCAGGCATGGTGGTGTGCGCCTGTAATCTCAGCTACTCAGGAGGCTGAGGCAGGAGAATCACTTGAACCCAAGGGACAAAGGTTGCAGTGAGCCGAGATCATGTCACTGCACTCCAGCCTGGATGACAGAGCAAGACTCCATCTCAAAACAAACAACAAAAACCCCTGCACTATAGACCAAATGGACCCAATAGATACTTACAGAACATTTCATCTAAGACCTGCAGAATACACATTCTTTTTCTCAGCACATTTATTCTCAAGGATAGAACATATGTTAGGTCACAAAACAAATCTTAAAACATTCAAAACATTGAAATTATATCAGTCATTTTCCCTGACCACAATAGAATAAATCTAGAAATTAATGACAAGTAGAATTTTGGAAACTGTACAAATATATGGAAATTAATCAATATGATCCTGAGTAACCAGTGGGTCAATGAAGAAATTAAAAAGGAAACTTAAACATTTTGTGAAACAAATAAAAGTGGAAACACAGCATACCAAACCCTATGTGATACAGCAAAAGCATCCCTCTTAGGATGCTTTTATTTATAAGAGGGAAATTTATAAGTGTTTACCTCAATAAGGGGAATAAACTTCAAATAAACAATCTAATAATATATCTTAAAGAACTAGAAAAGCAAGAGCAAATCAACCCCAAATTTAGTAGGAGAAAAGGAATAATAAAGATTGGAAAAGAAATAAAATTGAAATGAACATCGCACAAAATATAAATTAAACAAAAACATGGTTTTTGAAATAAAAATTGACAAAGTTTTAGCCAGACAAACTAAGAAAAAAAGAAGATCCAAATAAATAAAATCAGAAATGCGAAAGGAGACATTACTATAATACTGCAGAAATTCAAAGGATCATTAGTGAGCAACTATATGCCAATTAGTTGGAAAATCCAAAAGAAATGAACAAATTTCTAGATACATACAATCTATCAAGATTGAACCAGGAAGGAAGCTAAATCCTGGACAGACCAATAACAAGTAGCGAGATCGAAGCCATAATAAAAAAATCTGCCAGTAAAGAAAAACCTAGGACCTGATGGCTTCACCGCTGAATTCTGCCAGACATTTACAGAAAAGTAATACCAATCCTATTCAAACTATTCAGAAAAATAGAGGAGGAGGAAATACTTCAAAACTCATTCCATGAGGCCATTATTACCCTGATACCAAGACCAAAGACATATGAAATAAAAAACTACAAGCCAATATCTCTGATGAATATTGATACAAAAGTCCTCAACAGAATACTAGCATATTAAATTCAGCAGTACATTAGAAAGATCATTCATTGTGACCTAGTTGGATTTATCTTTGGGATGCAAGGATAGTTCAACATATGAAAATCAATCAATGTGATACATCATATCAACAGAACGAAGGATAAGAACCATGTGATCATTTCAACTGATACTTGAAAAGCATTGGATTAAATTCAACATCTCTTCATAAGACAACCTCTCAAAAAACTGTGTATAGAAGGAACATACATGAACATATAAAAGCTGTGCATGACAGACCCACAGCTAGTATCATAGTGACTAGGGAGCAACTGATAGCCTTTCCTCTAAGATCTGGAATATGACACAGATGCCCACTGTCACCACTGATATTCATCATGGTACTGCAAGTCCTAGCTAGAGCAATTAGACAAGAGAAAGATATAAAGGGCATCCAGACTGAAAAGAAATAAGTTAAATTATTCTTGTTTGCAGATGATATTGAAGCAGGATATTTCCCTGATGTTTTTGCAGGACTTGTAAGAGAGGTGCCTTGTTTACTCAGCCTGCCACACTCATCTCCTTCTCGGAGGGAGCACATGAGTGGGCAAAACTGGAATACGAGTGCATCAGTGCTGGAATCAGCCTGCTGCCTTGGTGCCAGTGGGATCAAACTCCATTCACTTGGACCTACTGCGTTTCACCCCTCACAGGAGGGAGCATGCAGGTGAGCAGGTGCAGGAGCCAGAGCAAGCACTTTTGGTTGCCATCAGGAGCAAACTCTATGCAGGCCTTCCAGCAGCATCCAGGCGGGGTGCTTGTGACTCCCAAAGCCCCAGGGACCATGTTACAATGCTCCTTTAGCTTTGTCATCTGCAGACGGCTTAATTGTTTACAGCTCAGTGGGTCCTCTGCCCTTTTGTTGAGTCAACTGGCCTCTGCCATTGAGAGCAAAGGGCTAGTGTGACAGCCTGTTGTATCTGTGCTCCTGGCTCCTGAGCTCTTGTCCAGCATCCAGGGGAAATGAGGTTGCACAAACAAATTGAAGGATTGTAAATGTGGGGGATTTTATTGCCAATGAAAGTGGATCTCAGTGGGAAGGGGAGCTGAAAAGGTGACGGGGAGGGGGTAGGCAATCTTCCTCTGAAGACTGACCATCTCCGGCCGGATTTTTCCCTGAAGTTATGCCATCAAGCTGTAGCTCTCAAGTCCAGCTGCTTCTCTCTGACATCCAGCCATAGTCACTGATGTCCAGCTGCTTCTTCCTTCTGCTGGCTGAGTCTAGGGTATTTATAGACACAGGATGAGGTGAGGCAGGGCCATGGGTGGTTTAGGAAAAGGCAACATTTGAGCTGGAAAACAGGGATAGAAATTCTCACTTTGGGCCATGGGTTTTAGGCTTTTTGGCTTGAAGGTCAGGCTTCACCAGGGACCCGCCCTTTTCTGCCTAGAATTTCTCTACCCCCTATCAGTGTGATTTTATATTTGGAGAAACCTAAAGACTCCACAAGAAATGTATTAGAACTGATAAATTCAGTACAGTTACAGGATATAAACTGAACATACAAAAGTGAGTAGCATTTCTATAGACCAACAGTGAACAGTGTGAAAAAGAAATAAAAAGTAATCCCATTTACAATAGCCACACATAAAATTACCTAAAAATTAACAAAGAAGTGAGAGATCTCTATAATGAAAACTATAAAACACTGATAAAGAAAATTGAAGAGGACACCAAAAAATAGAAAAATATTCCATGTTTATGGATTGGAAAAATTAGTATTTTTAAAATCTTCATACTCCCTAAAGCAATCTACAGATTCAATGCAATGTCTATGAAAATACCAATGGCATTATTTACATAAATAGAAAAACAATCCTAAAACTTACATAGAATCACACAAGACCCAGAAGAGCCAAAGCTATCCTAAGCAAAAAAGAAGAAAACTGGAGTAATCACATTACCTGACTTCAAATTATACTACAGAGCCGTAGTAACCAAAACAACATGGTACCGACATAAAAAAAAAAGACACACAGACCAATGGGACAGAATAGAGAACCCAGAAACAAATTCACACACCTAGAGTGAACTCATTTTTGACAAAGGTGCCAAGAACATACATTGGGGAAAAGACAGTTTCTTCAATAAATGATGCTAGAAAAAGCTGATATCCATATGCAAAAGAATGAAAGTAGAACCCTATCTTTCACAATATACAAAAATCAAATCAAAATGGATTAAAGGCTTAAATCTAAGACCTCAGCCTATGAAACTACTACAACAAAAAATTGGGGGAAATTACCAGGACATTGGTCAGGGCAAAGACTTCTTAAGCAGTACACTACAAGCACAGGCAAACAAAGTAAACAGGGACAAACAGGATCACATCAAGTTAAAAAGCTTCTGAACACCAAAGGATACAATCAACAAAGTGAAGAGAGAACCCTGACAATGGGAGACAATATTTGCAAACAACCCCTCTGACAAGGGACTAATAACCAGAATATATAAGGAGCTCAAACAACTCTATAGGGAAAAAAAATCCAATAATCTGATTAAAAATGGGCAAAAGATTTGAAGGGACATTTCTCAAAAGATAATGTACAAATGGCAGACATACGAAAAGGTGCTCAATATTATTGATAACCAGAGAAATGCAATTCAAAACTACAATGATATATTGTCTCACTTCAGATAAAATGGCTTTTATTCAAAAGACGGGCAATACCAAATGCTGGTGAGGATGTGGAGAGGATGTGGAGAAAAAGAAATACTGTTGGTGGGAATGTAAATTAGTATAAACACTATGAAGAACAGTTTGCAGGTTCCTCAAAATACTAAAAATTGAGCTACATATGATCTAGCAATCTCACTGCTGAGTATATATCCAGAAGAAATGAAATCAGTATATCAAAGAGAAATCTGCACTCCTATTTTTGATGCTGCACTTTTAACAGGCTGTAAGATTGGGAAGCAACCTAAGTGTCCATGAACAGATGAATGGATACAAAAATGTTGTACATATATTTAATAGAGTACTATTCAGTCATAAAAGAGAATGAGATGCAGTCATTTGCAACAACGAGGATGGAACTAGAAATCGTTATGTTAAGTGAACTAAGCCAGGCACTGAAAGTCAAACATCACATATTCTCACTTATCTGTGGGATGTCAAAATCAAATTAATTGAACTCATGGACATAGAGTGTATAAGAATGCTTACCGAAGGCTAGGAAGTGTAGTGGGAGATTTTGGGGAAGGTGAGAATGATTAACAGGTAGAAAAAATAGAAATAATTAGTAAGACCTACTATTTGATAGCACAATAGGGTAACTATAGTGAATAATAATTTTATTGTATATTTTAAAATAAATACTGTAATTGGATTATTTGTAACTCAAGGGCTAAATGCTTGAGGGGATAGTTACCCTCTTCTCCATGATGTGCTTATTTCACACTGCCTGGCTGTGTCAAAACATCTTATGTACCCTGTAAATATATATACACCTACTATGTACCCACAAAAAATTTTAAATAAAAAACTTTTAAAAAAGAAATGCCTTCCAAGATCCAAGTCCTGGAATCGGGGACCCCAAGAGCTCACTTGGTGCTCTATCCCCCATTGGCCAAACTAGTACCTAAGATGCAAGATAAAGTCCCTTTTATTTCTCCTCCTGCTTTTCTCAGGCAGGAGTCTTGCCCCATAGCCACCACAGCTAGGAATGTACTGAGTCTCACCTGACACCAGCAAGTCTCAGACTCTCACGGAAAGCTCTCAATGTAGTACCTGCATATCCCTGCTGGTTTTTCAGAGTTCAAGGGTTCTTCAGAAAGCAGGTGATGAATGCTGCCAGGACTGGGCCCATCCTTTCAAGGCAGTAGGTTCCATTCTGGCCCAGGGTATGTTTAGAAATGTTGTTCAGGAGGTAGAGTCTGGCACAGGGGCCTCAGGTCTCCGATTGATACCCTGTCCTGCCGCGGCTGAGCTGGTAGCCAATATGCAAGACAAAGTCCTCCCCACTTTTCCCTTTTGCCTCCTCAAGCAAAAGGAAGGGGTCTCTTTCAGAGCGGCAAACTGTGCAGCCTAGAGTTAGGGAAGTGGCGATGCCAGAGCTCTCTTAGCAGCTCCAGCTGGTGCCTCAGTAGGTCGTGTGCCCCCTAGTCTACTCCTTCTGGGTCCAGTTTGGCACTAGGACTCACCTAAGTCTTGCAGTCCTTGTGGCCTAGACTGCCTTTCATGTTTATTTAGAGCCTTACAGCACCTTAGCCCACAGTGGCGAGGCTTGTGGGAACTCAAGTTCAGGCCAGCGGGATCCGCGATTCTCCTCCGACTAGGACTGGTTTAAATGCTTCTTCCATGGATGGGCTTCAGCTGAGATTTTTCTGGATTTCTTTTCTGCTATGCTAGAACAGCGCTGATGTGATGCCTCACAATTACTATGCTGTCTCTCCCGCAGCACATGAAATGCTCTCTGAAGCCCGTTGCTGCTGTTGTGGGTGGGGGAAGGGTGGCCTTGGCTCTTCAAGACTGGTTTTTGACCTTTGCAGTGCCTCTTTCAGTGATACAAAGTTAAAACCAGGTACTGTGACTGCTCACCTGATTTTTGGTTCTTATGAAGATGGTTTTTTTGTGTAGACAGTTGTTAGACTAGTGTTCGTGGGGTGGGAGTGATGGGAGGAGATGATTGTTGGAGCCTTCAATTCTGCCATCTTGCTCTCATTGCATATTGACTCTATTCTCACTCAAAAGAGACAAGCACTGACATAAAACTCCCTCTTTGCATAAATTGCATCACCCAATGGAAGGGTAGATTTAAACATTTTTCTGATAGAGGTAAAGCCTTATATTCTAACTACATCTAGCCTGTTAGACAGTAGTAAAGGCTAAAAGAATAATTACTAGAAATTATTCTAAGCAGACAGTATATATATCATCAGAAAATAATATTTTATTGCTTATACATTTTTAGCAGTAATATAGTTAATATTATTATATTGTTATAACAATACAGTATGAAATGGTGGGTTCAAATAGAAACAAAGATTAGAATTTTGAGTAGAGGGTCCTTTTTATGAATAAGATAAATTTTGGATAAACAGCAATGTTTAAAGCCTGGAAATGAAAAACACAATTGGCATTTGAGCAAGGAGAAGAAATTGGAGGAATTGAAACCCATGCTTCAGGGCTGATCCCAGTGTCTAGATTGTGGATTTATTAAGAGGTGGCACACACATGGAATTTTACCTAGAGAATAGACTGACAGACAAGGGACCAGAATTTAGAAAGAACTGAAACAACTTCTCAAGTAAATTATTATGGGGGAGTGGAGAGTGGAATGAAGACCTGGGATACAACTGTTGGATCTTATATTATTATATATTATATTACAACTCTTATAAGAGTTGTTGCCTTTCTCCCTACATTGGTTTTGAGCATCATTTTTCATATGGCACATAAGGATTAAATAAATGCTTGAAAGAATAAGGAGATTACCAACACAGACATCTTATGAACTTTGAATAGTAGGCAGAGAGTTAGGTGCTCTGAGTGTTACCACAATTCTAATACCCCCATGTTTATTCCCTACCAGACTTCTCTACTCTTGGCAAAGTAGGCTTTGTATTGTCTATCCACCCTTTCCTCAACATCTGTCTCTGCTCTGAATTTTTAATATTTAAACTTAGATTCTTACAACTGTAAATGTAATGAGGGCAGAGATACTCCTTAAAAGTGGTTTTCGGCTTTGTTTTGTTTTTTTGTGATGGAGTCTCACTCTGTTGCCAGGCTGGAGTGCAGTGGCGCGATCTCGGCTCACTGCAACCTCCTATTCCCTGGTTCAAGTGATTCTCCTGCCTCAGCCTCCCGAGTTGCTGGGATTACAGGCATGCACTACCACGCCCAGCTAATTTTTGTATTTTTAGTACAGACAGAGTTTCACCATGTTGGCAAGGATGGTCTCGATCTCCTGACCTCATGATTTGCCCGCTCTGGCATCCCAAAGTGCTGGGATTACAGGTATGAGCCGCCACGCCCGGCCAAAAGGTTTTTTTTTATTTTAATTTTTTATATATATCCCCTGTATTTAGCATAAAAATTAGTACTTAATAAATGATTAATGCTTTGGAAAAAAATTTTAAATTATCTCAAAAATGAGTAAGTAAAAGATGCAATTTGCCCTCTCTGTCTAACATTTCCTGGATTTTCACCTTGGCTTTGACCTGAACCTCAGGTTATTATCTACAATGAAAAACATAAGACCATCAGTCCAACTTGTTATTCTTTAGGGAATCTTCCTCTACACACAAAATGTAAATACCTGTTTTAGTAATTTTAGTTAAAACATACAGTGTAAAGGAAGGCTTTTAATCTGATGTTCCAGTCAGCTTTAAAATAGGAATATGTTGTGGAGTAAAAAGTTCCAGTTTTTTCTCAAAGTGGGACAAACTATGATCAGATTTATGTTAGATGACAAAACTCTTGAGTTTGCTATGTAAATTTATTTCAACTAAAGTGTGAGATAATTACACATATAATTTATTTTTCGAGATATAAGAATCTCAAATTGTAATTCCACAACTTGGCATAATCTACAATAAGAGCATAAGAATTGTTCTGGTCCCATCAAAGCAGGTTTATAGCTATGAATGTTTGGTATTTCTGTAAAGGTAATCTGTGTACATAACAATATCAAATCAATCAAAGTGTCGGTTTACTGTATATTTTTTAAGATCGTGGGTTAAAAGAAGAATTTGTTCCCTTTTTGCTTCTTGCCTTACTTCTCCAGGCTCAACAATGTTTTGCCAGAAAATTCTTTCACACCTAAAAACATAATCCTTTTTTTTCTGACCAACATTTTTCTGTGTTTACACATTGCCAAAAACATATTACATCCAACTAATTTTTATATTATACAATGCTCTTCACAGTATAGATTCTACATCTGTGTTTATTCTGTCTCCTGGTACTTCATAACTGAAGAATGTTAAACTGCTTCTCTTCAACAAATAACACTCTCTTTCCAAATTCCTTTCCAATGCACATACTATTTCTTCCTGTTGAAATGCTTTCCATATCAACAAGCTCAGGCATTTCTTAGACATTCTTTTCATTTTAGCCCATTTCATTTCAATATTAAAATTTTGACCTCTTTGGAATATTCTCTTGACGCCCACAAACAGATTAGGCATTCCTTTTCTTCTTTGCTTCCACAGTCTTAGTGCAAATAAATATCCCAAGTAAACATCCTGTACTGTGATTATTTTAATATAATATACTAAAACTGAAGATCTTTCTTTTAGTAGTTTATGTTGTGAGATAATTCATTATGGTTATATCATATTCCTGCATGGTCCAGGCCTTCTGAGCAAAGGGTGCTGTTAAGAATTTTGCATACCAGAAAGCCTTGGAATCTAGAAATTGTGTCCTCCTAAAGATAAAATCTCTTTCTACAGAGATGCCGTTTCTCTTTCCCCTATGAAATGTATTTAATGAGTAATCTCTGTCTTTGGAGAGGAAGATGGTCATGTGTCAGCAGTCTATAACTAAGAGGCTCTAAATTTTAGGGTCCCTCCCCTGTGATGCAAACTTACTACATCCACAGGTTAACATCTGCCTTCATCCCATTGCCCTACGGGGATAGCAGCACTGGGAAGTGTGACTAAGACATTGTTCTTGCTGATGATTTTTACTGTAAAAAACTGTGTTTCGGCGGGGCGCAGTGGCCCACACCTGTAATCCCAGCACTTTGGAGGCCAAGGCGGGCAGATCACGAGGTCAGGAGATCGAGACCATCCTGGCTAACACGGTCAAACCCTGTCTCTACTGAAAATACAAAAAATTAGCTGGGCATGGTGGCGGGTGTCTGTAGTCCCAGGTACTTGGGAGGCTGAGGCAGGAGAATGGCGTGAACCCAGGAGGCGGAGCTTACAGTGAGCCGAGATCGCGCCACTGCACTCCAGCCTGGGCGACAGAGCGAGACTCCGCCTCAAAAAACAAAAACAAAAACAAACAAATAAACAAAAACTGTGTTTCTGACTGAGGGTTTATTCTGCAGCATATGTATATAAAACTGTGGAAGGCTAACTAGTTACCTTGCCAGCAGGATAAAACTCAGAACCTTCACAGTATTTAACTTTATAAGCTTAGAGCTTGGGATAGTGCATGACATGTAGTAAAAGTTTAATAAATATATTTTATTTATAAAATGAATGAATAATTGGGCTAGTCAGTGAAAGGTAGAGGAAGATTTTCATTGATGTACCCAGTATTAGTATATATTGTGAATGATGTTGAAACTGAGCCTAAAGATTACTGATGTCCTATCTAACATACCCTTCTTGTTTATCTGCACTTTTCATTGCCTTAAAGATATTTTGTAATTCTGTGCTGAAAACCAATTGTAATGCAAATGATTTCTTATCCATATAAAAACAAATAAAATTTGTCCTGTGGATATTGATCAGTTTAACATCTATTTGTAAATTCATGTCAACATTGTCGATTGCCTAGATTGACTACAGTATGTATTGCCTACACATATACATTTTTTTGGATTTTCCTTTGAATTGGTTTTAGCATCTTATCGGTTTTGTCACTAATTAATATGTTAGATAAAATCTTAGACATATATTCATTTACCTAATAGTTGTATTAAGGTCATAATTTTATCTTGTTTTATAAACATGATCCATTAATACCAGTAATGTATTCTTAACATCATGAAGTGTGCAATGTGTGTACGTGTGTGTGTGTATGTCTGTGTGTGTGAAAGAGCTTTTCTATTTTGTTGTTTAGGACTTTTCCTCATTTTCCTTTCTTTGGAATTTTCCAAAGCCATAAATCACTGAATGTCTATAATCATTGCAATATTTTGATTACTCTGTACTATATTTTAGTATATTTAGTAATTTACAGATTTTGCAGCATTTACATGATGCTAGAGAAATAGTATATAGTGAAGGAAACCAGAACATGCCACCCCAAAATATGCTGATTTAGCATACTGATCATTTTGAACTGAAGGCACTGGAAAAATAGCAGTTGCAGAAGGAGCTATCTTACCTGCCCTTTCCTACATGTAGCAAGCCATAAAAATTCTTGTGGGAAGGATGGCTCCCTTGTACTAAGATGAGAAAATAACTCGTATCAGCTCAGAGATGGTACTAGAGGAATCTACAAACATTACTCCATTAACTTCTTCCCATATGTTTATCTTCCCACAGTTTCTCACCTCTGTGAGCCTAAAAACTGCTTTCCTTTGTCTTGCCACTTCTCTAAAATTACTGTTCTTTGTTGAAGATGCTATATAAGCCGAAGTTCTAAAACCACTGGTTTGAGTTATTTTTCATAGCAGTTTCTCCCATGAGATGTGCCCTGCAAACATTAATAAACTTGCTTGTCTTTCTCTTGTTAATCTGTTTCCTGCTGCAGAGGTCTGTTCCAACTTAAGAGGGCTGAACAGAAATTATACATCCTCCCAGCAATCATAAGGCAGACAAAAGAACCTCCAACCCTGGCCAACCTTTTGCATTGTAATATAGAATAATACAGGTTTTGTAAAATAAATAAATGAATATTTGCTTTATAAAGGGGAATCTGAGTATAGCCAGTATGAGGAGTGTCTTGGTAGAATGAGTCATACCCATGCTGTGACATGACTGAGCACGCAGAAGGCGTGAACACTTGAACAGCTGCTGAGAGTGTTCACACGGCTGGCTGCAAATCTTTTTTTTTTTTTTAAATTATTATTATACTTTAAGTTTTAGGGTATATGTGCACAATGTGCAGGTTAGTTACATATGTATACATGTGCCATGCTGCTGTGCTGCACCCATCAACTCATCATTTAGCATTAGGTATATCTCCTAAAGCTATCCCTCCCACCTTCCCCCACCCCACAACAATCCCCAGAGTGTGATGTTCCCCTTCCTGTGTCCATGTGTTCTCATTGTTCAGTTCCCACCTATGAGTGAGAATATGTGGTGTTTGGTTTTTTGTTCTTGCGATAGTTTACTGAGAATGATGATTTCCAATTTCATCCATGTCCCTACAAAGGACATGAACTCATCATTTTTTATGGCTGCATAGTATTCCGTGGTGTATATGTGCCACATTTGCTTAATCCAGTCTATCATTGTTGGACATTTGGGTTGGTTCCAAGTCTTTGCTATTGTGAATAGTGCCACAATAAAAATACGTGTGCATGTGTCTTTATAGCAGCATGATTTATGGTCCTTTGGGTATATACCCAGTAATGGGATGGCTGGGTCAAATGGTATTTCTAGTTCTAGATCCCTGAGGAATGGCCACACTGACTTCCACAATGGTTGAACTAGTTTCCAGTCCCACCAACAGTGTAAAAGTGTTCCTATTTCTCCACATCCTCTCCAGCACCTGTTGTTTCCTGACTTTTTAATGATCGTCATTCTAACTGGTGTGAGATGGTATCTCATTGTGGTTTTGATTTGCATTTCTCTGATGGCCAGTGATGGTGAGCATTTTTTCATGTGTTTTTTGGCTGCATAAATGTCTTCTTTTGAGAAGTGTCTGTTCATATCCTTTGCCCACTTTTTGATGGGGTAGTTTGTTTTTTTCTTGTAAATTTGTTTGAGTTCATTGTAGATTCTGGATATTAGCCCTTTGTCAGATGAGTAGGTTGTGAAAATTTTCTCCCATTTTTTAGGTTGCCTGTTCACTCTGATGGTAGTTTGTTTTGCTGTGTAGAAGCTCTTTAGTTTAATTAGATCCCATTTATCAATTTTGGCTTTTGTTGCCATTGCTTTTGGTGTTTTAGACATGAAGTCCTTGCCCATGCCTATGTCCTGAATGGTATTGCCTAGGTTTTCTTCTAGGGTTTTTATGGTTTTAGGTCTTAACGTTTAAGTCTTTAAGCCATCTTAAATTACTTTTTGTATAAGGTATAAGGAAGGAATCCAGTTTCAGCTTTCTACATTTGGCAAGCCAGTTTTCCCAGCACCATTTATTAAATAGGAAATCCTTTCCCCATTGCTTGTTTTTCTCAGGTTTGTCAAAGATCAGATAGTTGTAGATATGCAGCGTTATTTCTGAGGGCTCTGTTCTGTTCCATTGATCTATATCTCTGTTTTGGTACCAGTACCATGCTGTTTTGGTTACTGTAGCCTTGTAGTATAGTTTGAAGTCAGGTAGTGTGATGCCTCCAGCTTTGTTCTTTTGGCTTAGGATTGACTTGATGATGTGGGCTCTTTTTTGGTTCCATATGAACTTTAAAGTAGTTTTTTCCAATTCTGTGAAGAAAGTCATTGGTAGCTTGATGGGGATGGCTAGCAGAAGGCAAGAAATAACTAAAATCAGAGCAGAACTGAAGGAAATAGAGACACAAAAAACCCTTCAAAAAATTAATGAATCCAGGCGCTGGTTTTTTGAAAGGATCAACAAAATTGATAGACCACTAGCAAGACTAATAAAGAAGAAAAGAGAGAAGAATCAAATAGACACCATAAAAAAATGGTAAAGGGGATATCACAACCGATCCCACAGAAATACAAACTACCATCAGAGAATACTACAAACACCTCTATGCAAATAAACTAGAAAATCTAGAAGAAATGGATAAATTCCTCAACACATACACCCTCCCAAGACTAAACCAGGAAGAAGTTGACTCTCTGAATAGACCAATATCAGGCTCTGAAATCGTGGCAATAATCAATAGCTTACAAACCAAAAAGAGTGCAGGACCAGATGGATTCACAGCCGAATTCTACCAGAGGTACAAGGAGGAACTGGTACCATTCCTTCTGAAACTATTCCAATCAATAGAAAAAGAGGGAATCCTCCCTAACTCATTTTATGAGGCCAGCATCATCCTGATACCAAAGCCGGGCAGAGAAGACACAACCAAAAAAGAGAATTTTAGACCAATATCCTTGATGCACATTGATGCAAAAATCCTCAATAAAATACTGGCAAACTGAATCCAGCAGCACATCAAAAAGCTTATCCACCATGATCAAGTGGGCTTCATCCCTGGGATGCAAGGCTGGTTCAATATACACAAATCAATAAATGTAATCCAGCATATAAACAGAACCAAAGACAAAAACCACATGATTATCTCAATAGATGCAGAAAAGGCCTTCGACAAAATTCAACAACCCTTCATGCAAATCTTGCCAAAAGCAAACTTACCTGCAGACATTACGAAGTTATTTACCTCTAGTTCCCTTCAATAAAAGACTGGAAAAAATATTTTTCACAAATAATTTTGCTCAGGACATGAAATTAGTGAGAAAGTCCTTAATTAGTATTATTATACAGATTTATTTTCCCATTCATGAGAAATCCAATCCACTAAAAAATCAAAATTGACATATACAGAATAATTATTATAGTACAAAAAACAGCATAACAATAATCACCTTAAAAAAATAACCAAAAAATGAAGTTATAGACTTAGATTTTATCAGCTTTTTTTTTTTTTAACTGATATTCCTTACCTATTTCAGGATCCAATTTAGGATCTCACATTGCATCTAGGTGTGGTGGCTCCTTAGTCTCCTCCAGTCTATGACAGTTCCTCAGTCTTTCCTTGTCTTTCCTAATCTTGATACTTTTGAAGAGTACTGGTCTAGTATTGTAGAATGTCCCTCAGTTTGGGATTGGTTAATATTTTCTCATGATTAACTCTACACCTATGCGCAGTATCTCCTTATTGGGAAGAAAAGCACAGAAGTGATATGACTTCAGTTCATTATGAGACAGTGCATGATGATTTTCTTAGTGGTGATATTAACCTTGATCGTTTGTCTACAGTGGTATTTGCCAGGTTTCTTCACTGTATGGTAAATATTGCTGTCTACAATTAGAAAGATAAATATTTTAAGAGAGCTACTTTGAGTCTGTGCAAATATCCCGTTTCTCATTCAGTTTTAACCCACTATTTTTGGCACTCATTGGTAGATCTTGCCTGCAGCCATCATCATTGAGGATTTCCAATGCTGATTTTCTGTTTCTGTAATTCGTTCTACATGTTTTCATTATAATTCTCCTCTAAGGGTTGCCCTTTCTCGCATATTTATTCATTCACTTATTTATGAATATTTAGTTAAAATCAGAGCTATCAACATTTATTTTATTATTCAAGTGGTTCTACCTTTGGCCATTGGGAACTTTTTCAGGTTGGCTCCTGTGTCTTTCAGCATATTCCATTTTTTAATTTTTGGCCTTTCTTTACTTTTTAGCACTGCAGTATACTCCAGGATTTTGCCTGTCCCAGCCCTGGAATGAGCCACTTCTCTAGAGAGCCTTGGTCCTTTTATTTTGGGGTATGACAGCTATACTTTTTTAAAAACTTGCAAATATGATAAATTATTCTCTTCAATATTTCATGCAGGAATTTTCTAGTATTTCATAAGTGAATGATTTTCTTGAGAAATTTTTGTATGGTCCCATGAAATTAGAAAAAAACTATAAATAGAATAATGTAAATGAGAAGGTAATTGATTTCATGTGTTAGTCTTCTGTGAGGCAATGTAATTCTCAGGAACAAAGGCAATAAGAAAAGAGAGAGAAATTCTCAGTCTCCAGAAAGTCAGTGTTTATTGAATTCTAACTTATAAGGAGTACTATGAGAAGTGCTGCAATAAGTAAAATATGTGGCCCCTGTCCTAAAGAAGCTGTGGTGTCACAGTGAGACGAGGATAAATATTTAACAAAGGAACAAGTTCTAAAGTATGAGGGATCATGTGGGTCACACATTACATTTTATTCCAGTGTTTCAACATTATATTTCTCATTCAGTTACTCTTATTAGATCTTCTCTTCTGCACAGGAAAGCTCACTCTTTTTAAGCACCAACTAAAATTCAATTCCTCCATTATTTTTTCTTTTGTGTTGTTTTTTAATTCTTTAGCTATGTATTGAACACCTACTGTGTGCAAAGAAAAGTGAAAGCAAGATAATGTCACAAGACAACATTACAGCAAATTTAGTTATAAAGCTAAGTGGCTTTTATTCAAAATTCATGATTGAAGCAGCATCCATTCTACAAAATAAGAAGAAAGTGTTCCCTGGTCAATAGTAGAAGAGTGCATTTTATAAGTTAGACACTAAGAAATGAAACAATAGAAAAAAAATGGATTGGATAACATCAGGTTACTTTTTTGTCAAAGCTAAAGCAGAAGTGACAAACTGATCTGTTTTGGGATCTAGTTGCTTCCTTGAAGTTTCTGTTTGATAATGTGGTATTTAGCATGAGTGACTCCTTTCTGATTTGGTCTGGTCTGTTGGGGCTTAGTACAGGACCTCAGCCTAAAACAATGACTTCCCATATTTTTTGTTTAATAGTAGTAAGGTAACTAAAGTGTCTTTATTGATTTTTAGGAATTTTCAGCTCATAGAGATCAATCTTCTCTGTCCTCCCAAATCCACAGTTTTGTTTCATTTTTGTTTCATTTTCTAAATTCTGTAAACACCTATGCACAGTAATAAATCTCTGAGAACGGGTGTAGAATTTTCTGTCTGCATTGTTTTCTAGTTAGTCCATGTAGGTTTACTTCATTACATTCTGTTAGAGTTTTGATTTGCTTTAGTGAAAAGTCTGTTTCATCGACTCTTTTATCCTCACAGCATTGGCCAGTGGTATTTAGATAATAGATGGATATAAAATGTGTATTATCATTGTCAACATCAAATGCATTTAGTAAGTAGAATACAAGTGTCCTGGATTCAAAGAACTGCCCTACTTTTCTAACTGCTTAAATGTTGATAATACTTCATAGGCTTGCTGTGAGGATGAAATGAGCTCCTACATGCAGCATTTAGAAAGAAACTTGGAACATAGTAAACACTTAATGTTATTAATTTTTAACGTGTGTTTATGAGTAACAATATTATATGTGATAAAGAGCATGGCGTTATTTACTATGCAATGGTTAGCAATGAAAAAGGAAAGTAATATATTCAGATTTGGATAATTGAATTTTAATTAAGGACCAAATGCCATTGTCACTCTTCTTGACAGTCTTCCTGTTTCTGTTCAACATTCCTACACAAATTTATTTTTTCCTATGCAACATTTAGAGAAATAATTGTTTAAATATAATTGTTTTAAACTGTTAGCCATCTCTGAGCTCTATCCATTTAGTGAGACTTCAGTGCTGTTAGAGTCAACAAGTGGCCAAAAAATGCCTTCATCCCACATGCTTCCTCCTTCCACAAGGGTTTGGTGAGTCCTTTGTGCATTGCAAGTGTTCATAGATGCATAAAGTTGGATTCAAGCTGAAATGTTTTTAAGTTGTTATGTAATGCTAAGAATATACAAAGAAATACTTATAAAACATACACAAAGTATGAAGAACACCTATTTATGACCTAATTTAAATAAATAATAAATTACCATTACTTTGAAGTCATTTGTGTATCCCTTCTCCATCAGCAATAACCACTTCCCTGAATAAATTCTACTACTTAGTCCTGAAAAAGAACAAAGTTGAAGCACTATAATACCTAATGTCAAGGTTTATGAAAGTTGCTGCAATTAGCACATCATGGTATTGGTGAAGTAATGGAAACATAGACCAATGGAACAAAATAGCTCAAAAATAGAAACACTCTAAATAATAAACTGATATTTGGTAGGCAATTCAATAGAGAAATAATAGTCTTTAAACAATTTTTGCTAGAAGAACTGGAGATGAACACGCACAAAGCAGGGGCCTAGACACAAATCTTCACCTGATCTTAGCCAAAAGGTCGAGAAGCGATAGTCACAAATCTTATACCTTTCACACACACATACAAAAATGGTTCAAAGCACAAAAGTATAAAACTTAAAACAAAAACTAGAACATCTAGGTAACATGGGTTTGATGATGAATTTTTAGATACAACATCAAAAGCATGATAGATGAAAAAATTGCTAAGTTGAATGTTATTAAACTTAAAAACCTCTCCACAAAAGTTACTGTTAAGAAAATGAAGACAAGCCACAGACTTTTGTCTTTTGCAATTTGTCACTGGGAAAATGAAAATTAAGAAAACAATGGGGCCGTGAGCGGTGGCTCACCCTTCTAATCCCAGCACTTTGGGAGGCTGAGGAGGGTGAATAATTTGAGGTCAGGAGTTTGAGACCAGCCTGGCCAACATGGTGAGACACATCTCTACTAAAAATATAAAAATTAGCTGGGCGTAGTGGCGTATGCCTGTAATCCCAGCTACTCGGGAGGCTGAGGCAGGAGAATTGCTTAATCCGGAAGACAGAGGCTGCAGTGAGCCGAGATCATACCACTGCACTCCAGCCTGGGCAACAGAGTAAGACTCCGTCTCAAAAAAAAAAAGAAAAGAAAAAACAAAAAAGAAAACAATGAGCTGCTGGGCACAGTGGCTCATACCTATAATCTCAGCACTTTGGGAGGCCAAGGTGGCAGATTGCTTGAGTTGGAGACCAGCCTAGGCAACATAGCAAAACCCCATCTCCACAAATAATAAATAAATGCATACATACATACATACATAAGAAAGAAAAAAGAAAAAAAAAAAAACTAGCCAGTCATGGCAAAGTGTGCCACTAGTCCCAGCTACTCAGGAGGCGGAGGTGGGAGTGTCACCTGAGCCAGGGAGGTCAAGGCTGCAGTGGGCCCTGATTGTGCCACTGCACTCCAACCTGGGCAACAGAATGAGACCCTGTCTGGAAAAAAAAAAAAAAAAAGGAAAAAATGATAAAATAATACGTACTAATTAGGAAGGCAAAAATTTTTAAAAAGTGATAATATGAACTGCTGATGAAGAAGTGGAGCAATAGAAACCCTTGTTTATGCTGGTGAAATGCAAAATGGTACAGCCACTTTGTAAGACAGTTTAGCACTTTCTTTTTTTTATTTCCAGCTTTTATTTTAAGCTCTGGGGTACATGTGGAGTATGTGAAGGTTTGCCCCATAGGTAAATGTGTGCCATGATTATTTGCTGCACAAATCCCATTGCCTAGGTATTAAGCCCAGCATCCACTAACTATTTTTCCTGGTGTTCTCCCTCCTCCCAACCCTCACCCTCCAAAAGGCCTCTGTGTGTATTGTTCCCCTCCATGTGTTCTCATCATTCAGCTCCCACTTTATAAAGTAAGAACATGAGGGGTTTGGTTTTCTGTTCCTGCATTAGTTTGATGAGGACAATGGCTTCCAGCTCTATCCATGTCCCTGAAAAGGACATGATCTTGTTTCTTTTTATGGCTGCATTGTATTCCATGGTATATATATATCACATTTTCTTTATCTAGTCTATCATTGATGGACATTTAGGTCGATTCCATGCCTTTGCTATTGTGAATAGTGCTGCATTGAACAAACGTGGGCATATATCTTTATAATAGAATGATTTATATTCCTCTGGATATAGACCCGGTAATGGGATTGCTGGGTCAAGTCGTATTTCTGCCTATAGGTCTTTGAGGAATCACCACACTGTCTTCCACAATGGTTGAACTGATTTACACTCCCACCAACAATGTAAAAGTGTTCCTTTTTCTTTACAACCTCACCAGCGTCTGTGGCTTTTTGACTTTTTAATAATAGCCATTCTGACTGGTGTGAGATGGTATCTCATTGTGGTTTTGATTTGTATTTCTCTAATGATCAGTGACATTGAGCTTTTTATCATATGTATAGTGTTCATATATATAGACATGATGAATTGAAAGATTTAACATTAGTTGACTTATGGCCCTTGGTGCTTCCCTTCTGGATCCACTCTCTTGTTTCAAGAAGTCACACTTCTCCAGGGCTTCTCCCAGCCGAAGAGAGAATATGGCTGGGGTGCTCCTGCCAGCCTGTTTTTGTTAGACACAGATATAGCTAATGGCAGACTTGAATCAGGGACTCCTCTTTGGCCTGGCAAAACCTTTTTTTTTTTAAAATAACTGCACTTAAATCTAAGACTTTTCCTATGCAATTTTCTTTCTTTTCCTTGTTCCTTCAATTGTATCAGCAATCATCATGGCTCATTTCACCTTTTCTTGCTCTCTCTTCTTTATCTTTCACAGACATTTTCTCCCCAATCTATTTGCACCTCTAATCCCATTTTGGCATCTGTTTCTTAGAGGACTAATATGTTTTATTTTCTGTCTTCTTATGTTTCTGTTTCTCTCCTTTTTGTTTCCCTCAACTTATTTTTCTTATTACATCCTTTACCCCCTCAACTTCACTGGAAGTTACACACTCTGTTTCCATATTTTTAGAAATGACACTTAAAAATTTACCATACATAATTATAAAAGCTAAATCATTTTAAAACTCAGTAAGGCATTGTTTGTGTTGTTCTTATTACTTTGTACATAAATATTTGTTCAGAGTTATCCACATATTCATTCAATTGGTAATTTATAATTTCACTATATCTAACTGTGGATTTTTGTTATTTATTTATTTATATATTTGTTTTTGTTTACATTTTGATTGGTTTCCTGAATCTGTGGTTGGTGGCATTCAGTAGTTCCAAAACATTCACATCAAATATTACTTCCAATCAATTTTCTTTCTTTCATCTTTCTGTAATTGTTTATATTTTATTTTCTCTATTTTCCATGTATCTTAACTTCTTCATATTTCCCATCTCTTTATCTTTTTGGGCTGCTTGATGATAGTTACTGTAGATTTATCTTCCAGATTATCAATTATTTAGCTTATTTTGTTCACTCAATGTTCTTTTAATCTTTAAATATAAATTACTGTAATTTTTATTTTTAGAAGTTCTATTTAGGTATATTTTTAGTCAGCTTGGTCATTTAAAAATGATTTCTTGCATTTTGCTTATATTTTCCATGCTGTCATATTGTGTTTAGCATATTAAACATAAATTTTATGGTATTTGTCTAATAATTTCAACATGGATAGTCTTTCATTACGGATAGTGTTTATAGGACTGAAAATGCTGTTTGTAGTTTCTCTCAATCATGGTGCCTTATTTCATTGTGTATTGTGACTTTTATCATAAATTCATGTTTGTTTAATCTTGTGGAAATTACCTGAGGTCTTCATTTGTAGTGGGCATGTCACCTTCTGCCTTGATGACCACTAGATGAAGATCACCTCCAACTTAATTCTCTGCCTGAAGCCCCCTCAGGCCATCTAGATAATATTTCAATGGACTATAATATCTTTGAAGGTGAGATTATAGTTATAATTTTTCAAAGGAAATTCCTTTTTTGTAACTGTTGAGAACCAAGGCAAGGATTTCCTCATTTGAGGAAGGTCATTCGTTTCTTTTATGTTCATTCTTTAGATCTCATTTACTGAGAGACCTATTTTAGAATGTCCTGTGCTTTGGCTAGTTTTTTGTTTGTTTGTTTGTTTTTGTTTTCTGCTGCCCAAAAGGAAATGAAAACCACAGCTCCAGTTTTCTACCATAAAGATCAGTTTTTGCTCTGGATTTCTCCTTGGACTTTTAGCCTCTGGATAGATCTTACTAACTTGCCAGCACACATCAGGGCATCTACGCATGCACGTGTGTGTGTGTAAAACATCCAAACCAACACTTTCAGTTGTTTTCACTGGGCACGTCTTCCAGGCTGTTAGCACATGACAGTGTGTGATATGGAAGTTTCTAATTATTTTTTTGTGTAAAGTGGATCCATTTTCAATTCAAAAAGAAATCAGCTCAGCTGCCCCAAAGCACTGATCCATTTTCCACTCAGGGAAGAAAAACAATAACAACAACAACAACTGAAATGAGGCTGTTGTTACCAATTGGGCATCAATTAGGCATTGAGAACAACCAAGTTTCTAAAATATTAGGACCAAGATACTAGATTGCAAACTAACCAGGTTCTCTTGCTGCTGTCTACTCCCATATACTGTTTACATAGAATTGTAGGCAACACCATGTAATGTTGACTTTGAGAATCAGCTGTGTTATGAAATATGTGTTTTTCTTTGCTCTGGACATCTTTGTGCAGGAATGGCTTCATTCCACTTCATTCGTCTGCAATATTTTGGTTTAAAAAAAACAGATTTGAGAGGTAACCATTGTGGATAGGTATTTTGTCTTTGTCTAAATCAAGGGAAGCTTGCTGAAATGATCCCATGCAATAAATGAATATTAAATTTCCAAATACTTGCCGAATTTTCTTGAAATAACAGAAGAGAAAAGGTCAATATGGATGAATACTATTTATTAAAGACCCCAAGTTCTTTCTCCTAAATGTCTCATAGGCATAAGATAAATATGTATAGTGACTTAACTTCAATGAGAAGCCAGGGGGATACTCTGAGTTGTTATGGCAAAAATATGTGACTCTATCTATAATAAAATACGCATTTTAACAGGCATTTTTTCGAATGAGTATTAAAAAACACACTTCATTAAGTTTTTATTCGGTTATGATTTCTTTTTTAAGGGCTATGTTCAGTCTTTAAGATTGTCCTTATGAAATTTTAGAATAGCAAAGGACTTTGTAGGCCAATATTCTCCATATCTACCTGCCTAATTTTTAGAATTAACTGGAGAGACTTTAGAGTATTCAGATTCCTGCCCACCCCCCTCAATTATTGAAACAATGGAGAAGGGGCCTAGGAATCTGTAATTTTAAACAATTTCCCAGTAAATATTGGTGAAGGAATTAAATTTCAAATCTAGTAACCTAACTTTATTAATCCTATTATTTTTTATGACATGGATGAAACTAGAGGACATTATGTTCAATGAAATTAGCCAGGAATAGAGCATATTTGTCTTTGACACAAATATTGTATGATCTTACTTATATGTGGAATTTAAAAAGTCAAACTTATGAAAGAAGTGAGTACAATGGTAGTTGCCAGAGGTAGGTGGGGGTGGAGGTGAGGGTTGGGGGAAAGTGGACAAGGAAAGAGGATTGGTCAACAGTTACAGTTAGATAAGAGGATTAAGTTTTGGTGTTCTATCGCACAGCAAGTTGACTATCATTAAGAATAATGTGTTGTATGTTTCAAAATAGGTGAAAGGGAGGATTTCTTTTTATTGGGACAAGGTTTCACTCTGTCACTCAGGCTGGAGTACAGTGGCATTATCATGGCTCACTGCAGCCTCAATCTCTGAAATGATCCTCCTACCTCAGCCTCTTAAGTAACTGGGACCACAGGTGTGTGCCACCATGTCTGGCTCATTTTTTAATTTTTTTAGAGATTGGGTCCCCCTATGTCAGGAGAGGCTAAAGAGGATATTAAATGTTCTTACCACAAAGAAATGTTAAATATTTGAGATGATAGCTATACTAATTACCCTGATTTGATCATTTCACAGTGTATACATGTATCAAAACATCAGATTGTACACCATAAATATGTAGGACTATTATTTGTCAATTAAAAAATAAAATTGATCTAAAAAGAAAAAAACTAAAGACTTGGGTTATCTGCAGAAGCCATGTACTGCTCTTTCTATTGCACTAAAATGATACTCATTCATTGCTACGTGGCTATAATGTTGTTTCTGGTACGTTATTGATGCAGTATATTTTCTTGACCCCTTTGTGGGAGTCATGACAAGAATGCCTCATTTACTCAGGCCACCTGCGCATCCCCTTGCGGAAGAGAGTTTGCGAGCAGATGAGTGCAG
Organism: Homo sapiens; assembly: GCF_000001405.40. Taxonomy (NCBI): domain Eukaryota; kingdom Metazoa; phylum Chordata; class Mammalia; order Primates; family Hominidae; genus Homo; species Homo sapiens. Next base: position 52,525,213 of record NC_000002.12, on the reverse strand, counting down.
GAACAGGAGCAAGCAAGTGCAGGAACCAGCTGCTTTGGCACCAGCAGGAGCAAACTCCATGTGGGTCCTGCAGATGGGATGCCTGTGACCCCAAGGACACAGAGGGTGTGTTACAGTACTCTTTTAGCTCTGCCATCTGCAGACAGCGGTGTGTTATCAGTTGAGTGGGCCCTTTGATTCATCATGTGGGCTGGCTGCCATCTGCCAGTGAGGGCAAAGGACTAGTGTAACAGCCTTTTTGGGTACTGCCACCTAATGCATCCCAAATTCTTGTCCAGTGGCCAAGAGGAATGAGGTCACATGGATAAATTGGAGGATGGTGAATGTGGAGAATTTTACTGAGTGATGAAGACAACTCTCAGCAGAGAGGGGAGCTGAAAAGGGGATGGGAAGGGAAGGTCGCTCTCCCCTGAAGTCAAACTGCCTCTCTTTGATGTCCAGTTGCCATCTCTGGAGTCAAGCTGCTTCTCTCCAACATCCAGCTGATTCTTCCTGACATCCAGCTGCTTCTATCCTCTGCTGGCTGGGATCTTTATAGGCATAGGATGGGGGCAGGGTGGGCTGCTAGTAGTTTTGGAAAATGCAACATTCGATTGGTTAAAAGGCAGTATTCAGAAAGAACAAATTGGGAGAGACCGGGCACATAGGGATGAAAGTTCTCACTTAGGGCCATGGGTTTCATGCTTTTTGGCTTGAAGGTAAGGTTTTGCCAGGGACCCTCCCCTGTCTGCCTAGAATTTTTCTGTCTCCTGTTGCTATCCTTACTAAAACAGGCATGTACACTAAGTGATTTCAGAGAAATGGAATTAACTATATCAGTAACAGTTGAATTTAAGCAGCTTTTATTATTACAATATTAAGTCTAATTTATCCCATATTAATTCTTCAGAATATTAAAAAGCAAAGGATGTTAATCAGAGTGTTCGGAGTTCCCCTTAACTACTGAACTCTGACTAGGAGATTTATTATTTTCAAAATATTGTAAGAACTGGTAATTATAAGAATTGTAAGAAGGTAAGACTCCCTGGAATTTAAATATCTTCTTATTATCATCTTAGGCTTTACTGTCCATAGTATGTACGTAGAAAGAACTATTAAAATGCTTCAGTTTAAATTACATGGAATAAATTTAAGTTATAATTTAAATGTCCTTAAGCTTTGAGTTTAACTTATCAATATTTTAACTTATTAATATCAATATTTAAATTTAATTTATTAGCATTTTGTTCCATTCATGGATACAGTCGATTTTGTATAAAAATGGAAAAATACTTTTTATTTATTCTTTGATAAATGCTTAATTTCTCAAATTAAACAGATTAACATTTAAAAACAAGTATGATTTACTAGATTTAATACATTTGAATTTTGTAAAAGCATTTCAAATGGCTGACAGGCAGACATAATAACTTCACGTGCAAGTTCTCCCTAGGTCTTAAGCAACCCTTGTGAATCTAATAATTCAATCTGATAGATAGATCAGTTCCTCTTATTTTGTTAAGTACAGTTAACCCACATAATCAAATTCTTTTACACTTGCAAAATTAAACTTGAAAGTCTAAAATCATTTTAAGAACAATATTAATATTTCAAAAATAAGTAGATGAGTAAATGACACTGATCGATTATCCAAAAATGTGAATGCTATTGTTTTTATTTACTTCATTGTCTCTATACTATTTACAACCGTTTTTGATTTGTAGTCACTGATTGACTTAAAAAGGAGTAATTTTACTAAATTGAGCAGGTTGAAGTTACAGGGTGACAAATTGGGACAGCTGCAGTGTTATCTCGAAGTCAAAAGGATTTCATTGAGGATCTCTTTCTGGATATTGCATACTGGATTCTCCTTCAGCATATATGAATATAGTCAGTTCCTTTCGTAACAGAATTCTGACTACTATGTCAAGTAGGAATTCTAAACCAAGATTTTATATGGAATTAGTTTCACATCCACCCAGTTTCTCTTACCCATTTTTAATGGACTAAATTATTATCTTTGTAACCTGAGTGGATCTTGCATTTCTTTCCTGTTTTTTCTGTCAATCACTATTCTATACTCTTCAATTCTAACTTAGCAGTCGTTTAAAAATTGTGACTTGGTAGGGTTGTCAGGTAAAATACTGAACAGCCAGTTAAATTTAAATTCCAGATTAACAGCAAATAAGTTTTTAGTACAACTATGCCTCGTGAAATATATAAAAAGATGATTCAGTGTCTCTCTGAAATTCAAATTTAAGTTGGTGTTCTGTACTTTTATTTGCAAAATCTGGCAACCCTAATCCTTGACATAGATATTCCAGAAACTATTGCCTAAGTTTTACTTTTATTAATAAGTTTTATTCCCTCACCTTTTCTGTAGACCCTCTGAGGTTAAAGCCGTGTCATTTTTTTCCCATCTCCTTCAGGCAAGGCTCATAGACTGGATTAGATGCTCAACGAATATTTGTTTTATAGGCTTCCTCTGAGAATCTGAATGTATCATCCTGCAAATCAGTTTGGAAATGTACAAGTGTTGTGCTGTCTGATATGAAGCTCTAGAAAAAACCCAAAGAAAACATACAAGACAAGCATTCCCTGGAAGGTATAATGTGACTACAGATCTTCTCATTTAGCAACATCATGTTACATGGAGGATAAGTACCACCCTTTATTTCAGCAAATGTACCTAATTGGAGAAGGCTGATGTTTTTCTTTCAAATGATGAGCTTTGCATATTCACATGTTACATTTGGCTTATACAATATTGTTACTGAGAGAGAATTTAAGACCTGAGCAAGGAGTTAAAAGTCATGTTTTATTAGCAGGCTAGCCCTGCTAGGGCTCTCCCCTCTGCTTTGCCCTCCCCAGTGTAAATGCATGCAGACTATCTAGTGGCTTTGATTCCTGAGTAGAATTTATATGCTTGATTTAGAAGAGTAATGTCAAGGAGAGTGATCTTTAGAATGCATTACAGACAAAATGCAGAACAGTCAAGGAGACAGTCCCCAGAGTTCCCCAGTGCCTATTCTAAGAACAAGAGTAACCTTAGAATTAGAATTTCAGCTTTGGGGAGCTTACTGATTTTACCCTTGTGCGATTTGAAGACTCTTCAATGTTCCTAGAATTACTTCTCTTGAGACTTTAGATAAGAATTGGAGGAATGGCCTGGGAATAAATATTCTTTGCAAGAAATAACCCCAAATCATTATGACTATGATGAAGGTGTATGGAGTGATAACTCACAATGTGGATAAAGGGGGCTGGGATGTTACCAAGACATAAAAGATCCCCATCATTATGGAACTTATAGTATAGTTAGAAAGATCAAAAGTATATATTAGGAAGAGTACCTAACTATAACAATGCTTTTTTTCTCATTGGAGAACACAATCATTGTAAAATAATATTAAAAATTTAGGAAAAAATTTTAAATTAGTCAAACTTTATTCATGAAGATACAACCACAGTTAACAAGTTTGGTGCAATTATCTTGCAGTTATATATATATATATATATATATATAATCATCTAACACATACCATTATGTAGTTTACATTTGTACCTCAAATTCATTTCTACATAAGTAAATATAAATACATATTTTTATATGAACTATTGCATACTATCCATTTTTTATCTTCCATAACTTATTTAACTGATCCTATGTTATAGGACATGAGATTTGTTTCTTTTTTTCTTAATTTATAATTAACCTTGCAATTAATATCCTCTAAACATAGTCCATGCATTTTCTTTATATAAATTCCTGGTATATACACTTACATTTTTTCAGATACATTTCAAATTGCCTTGCTGAAAGTTTGCTGCCCTGGGTAATGCTGGCACCACCAGAGTATAAAAGACCCTTTCTCCACAAAGAAAGATCATATGTCAGAGAAGGGAGAAAATCCTGTGTCTGTGAGTGGAATGGAAAGTTTTTAAAGAATATGGAAGTTAATTTGAGATTGAAAATAAGCATTTCACAGGAAAAGAGAAAACACTGTTGGTAGTATTTCAATATTCTTTTAAATCACATATGAGTTGAAAGAACTCTAATGTATAAATAAGAAAGATGCCTCATGCTTGCGTTTACTACTGCAGGATCACACTTTCCTCGATCATTCTCCTGGGACAGCCATCTATCCCGCATTTTCAAACTCCTGCACACAGTTTCTGAGAAGGAAAAATGTCCTTTCCTCTCGTATTTCTATTTCATCTATGTCTTCTTTTAACCAAATCAATTTAAATGACAAAAAGTGTCTTCTTATATTAAGAGGAATAAAATAATGTTATCAACTCAAATGTGGCTTCCCTCCACACTCTCTTAGAGTAGAATTTTATATCCACATTGTGCACCTTGCCCCTGCAGTTTCTCCTCCCTTGCCTGTCAGCTGTGCAGACTTCCCTGATTTCTCACACAGAGAAAAGGCCATAAGGAAAAGGAAAAGGGTCACAGTGGTGAATAAGTTTTCCTCCTCTCATTTACAAGGTTCTGTTCCCACTACAGGTTCTCTCCTATTGAGGGCCAAATATTTGTGCCAGGTGGTATTTGATTGGAAGGAAGAACATGAATAATTTTTAAGCCTAAATAAATTTGCCTTTGCAGAGTCCCCTTTTGTACCAAAAATGTGATTACTGGTGAACTGGTAAAGAGCCTATGCTTTCTACTTGTAGTATATTCAGAGTAAGCAGAGAAACAGACAGCCTTTGCTGCTCTTTTGCTATTTTAACAAATTGCCTTTTGTATGCATCTAGGCAAATGCAAAACTCCTCCTTTTGCCATGATCAAAACCTAACAACAAAGGCCTTTTGATTGACTAAGTTTTTCAATTTCTAATTAGCAAATTTTGTTCTTACCTTTGTAGACACCATAAACAAACCCTTTCACTTGGAAGCTAAAAAGCAAAGATCCTTTGAATCACCAAGTTATGACACATACTAAACAAAGCCAAGCTAGGTTTTGATGTTTTCTGTGGTTTAAACTTATGCTGTAAACAAGAAAAAAATAACACCTCAGCCATCAATTCCTGAATCTTACAAAAGAAAATTAACCCCTTTGAAGAAGGACTGCCATTTTCTTCCTAGTACAGGTTTTTCATTGTAGATAAATACTATGTTATTAAAAACAGAAAGAAAGAAAGAAAGAAAGAAAGAAAGAAAGAAAGAAAGAAAGAAAGAAAGAAAAGAAAGAAATCGCAACAAGAGCTTCTGTTTATTGAGGATAACTGTTCAAAACATATGGCATAGGCTATCAATGTAGATGATAGAGATAGAAAGATTGGCAGAAAGATAGATGATAGATATTTTTTGTAGAGAACTCATAACAACTCAATAGGTTGACATTTATTAAACCCCACTTCACAATGAATAAACTGAATATAAAAAGTTTTGAAAACTTGCTCATGAGCAAACAGTAATCAACAAAGTAAGCATTTGAATCCAGTTGTATTTCACTTTAACACCCTTGTCCTTCCTACTATCCACACTGTAATATTATAGAATAAAGTATAAGACAGAGACTTCAACTTTCATATAACTAAAAGAGTTTGTTTTCCTTTGGGTAATTTTCAAGTACAGTAAGTAAATGTTAGTGGAAGAAGTTAAGACACTGTTTAACTTTTATTTGTTAAAAAGGAAAGCATTCTGGAGTTTGGAGTTTGCCTACGTATTAGTCCATTCTCATGCTGCTAATACAGACATCCCCAAGACTGGATAATTTATAAAGGAAAGAGGGTTAGTTGACTCACAGTTCACCATGGCTGGGGAGGCCTCAGGAAACTTAAAATTCATAGAGGAAGAGGAAGCAAACACGTCCTTCTTCTCATTGTGGCAGCAAGGAGAAGTGCCCAGCAAAAGGGGGGAAAGCCCCTTATAAAATCATCAGATCTTGTGAGAGCTCACTCACTATCATGAGAACAGCAGCACTGGGGTAACTGCCCCATGATTCAGTTACCTCCCACTGGGTCCCTCCCACGACATCCCTCCCACGACATGTGGGGATTATGGGAACTATAATTCAGGATGAGATCTGGGTGGGGACACAGCCAAACCATATCACCTTATCAGTGACATAGAACAATTATATACTCTTGACAAAGAGATTTTGGTAAAATTTATATTTTAAAGTGTTGACTCATCCTATAAAAAATTTGTCCCAAAAAGTAGTGAGGATGTTCTAGATGAAGTCTTGGTAACAAGAAGCAACTGGAGAATCTAAGAGATACTTCTCAGGAAAATATGAGATTTGATGACAGATCACTTGTGGGAAGTAAACAGGATGATATAACTAAATATGAGTTTTCCATCTTGAAAATCTAAAAGAACATGAGAGCCACTATTATGACTCAAGAATTGACAATTCAGAGAATGTACATCTCCACTGAAGGGAGTCCTTGATAGGGAAAAACTTGGTGCTTAATTCCTTAGGGCAGTAGGGAAATATTATTTGGCATCTAATTACTTAAAATTTGAAAAGAGGCTGAGATTACTGTCAAGTCTATTCATTCTAGAATAAAAAGTGAAAATTGCAGTGTTCTTATTCATAAATATTCTGGCTTTAAGGATTAAATCTGTAAGAACTGGAAACATGAAATTTGCTTAGATGAAAGAGAGTTACTTTCTAATTGAAAATCCGAGTTTACACACTCTATTGTACTTTCATGAGGTGAGAACTTTTAATCCAATCAATGAGAGAAACCAACCTGTATTAGTCAGTGTCTTAGACTTTACTTGTCAATTAGAAATTGTAGCTTGCCCTCATTTATTTAGATAAATCTCCAAGTCAAACACTTAACATAGGTTTGGTTCAGGAAAGCACAAATCCACCTACGGTTTGTTTGCCTCTTTAATCCACATTGTTGAGAAGACGACTCTAATGCAGTGGTGTCAATCATCTTTGAATTACATTAGGTGAAATAAAAAGAAAAAAAATCTGATGGTCAGACTACATCTCATATTCATTAAATCAGAAGCTTGGCTGATGATGTTAGGACATTGGAAATTTTTAAATGTTCCCCAGAGGTTACTGATATAGTTATCACCTGTCTAAAGACTTTTTGGTCAATACAGATTGCATATATGTTGGTGGTGCCATAAGATTATAATGGAGCTGAAAAAGTTCTATTGCCTGGTGACATTGTAGTATACATTGTAAAGTTGTAGAATTATGCATTATTTATATGTTTATGGAAATGCTGGTGTAAACAAACCTACTGTGCTGCCAGTCATATAACAGTATATCCTATGCAATTATATATAGTACATATTTGATAATGATAATCAACAACTATGTTACTAGTTTATGCATTTACTATACCATATGTTTTATTATTTTAGAGTGTACTCCTTCTACTTATGTATTTTTAGAAGTTACCTGTAAAACAGCCTCAGGTAGGTCCTTCAGGAGGTATTCCAGAAGGCATTCTCATCATAGGAGATGACAGCTCCATGCTTGTTATTGCCCTTCAAGACATTCCAGTGGGATAAGATACGGAGGTGGACAATGGTGATACTGACAATTCTGACCTGTGCAGGCCTAGGCTAATGTGTGTGTTCGTGCCTTAGTTTTTAACACAAGTGTTTAAAAAGTAAAAGAAAAAAATTGAAAATAGCAACAAACTTACAGAATAAGGGTATAAAAAATATTTTTGTACAGCTGCATTTTTAGCTGTGTTATTTTAAGAATCAAAAAATTTTAAAATATAAAAATGCTTTAAAGTAAGTTTACAGTAAGCTAAAGTTAATGTATTATTGAAAAAAATTTAAATAAATTTAGGAAAGGCTAAGTTTGCAGTGTTTATAAAGTCTACAGTAGTATAGAGTAATGTTCTAGGGCTTCACGTTCACTCATCACTCACTTACTCACCCAAAGCAACTTTCAGTCCTTCATGCTCCATTAATGGTAGTTATCCTACCAAATGGTGTGCCATTTTTTATCTTTTATACTGGTTTTTATTGTACCTCATCTATGTTTAGATATATTTATTTACACAAATACTTAACATTGTGCTACAGTTGCCTACAGTATTCAGTGTAGTCACACACTGAACAGGTTTGTAGCCTAGAAGCAATAAGTTATACCACATAGCCCTAGGTGTGTAGTAAGCTATACCATCTGGATTTGTGTGAGTATACTCTGTGATGTTTGTGCAATGAAGTAATTGCCTAATGATGCATTTCTCAGAATATATCCTCGTTAAGCAACAAATGATTGAATAAGCAAAGTTGAAAACCACAGCTTTAAGGAACTGCCATTTTGAAAAAATATATACTCCCTTCCTGCTTTTATTATTTTAAGGGGAATTTATTTATTTGACCACTTTATTGAAGTATAATCGACACATAAAAATCTGTACATATTTAATATATACATCATGAGCTTGGGTAGCAGCATACACCTGTGAAACCACCACCACTATAGAGGACATAAACATATTCATCACCTCTGAAAGCTTCCTCCCACCCCCTTTATTATAAACAATCTGTGGTTTGGGGGAACTTTTTGGTAAGAACACTTAACATAAAATCTATCATGTTAGCAAATTTTAAGTATAAAATATAGCAGTACAGTATTGTTAGTTATAGGCACTATGCTGTACAGTAGGTCTCTAAAACTTGCTTATCTTGTATAACAGAAACTTCATACCCTTTAAAAATCACCTCCTCATTTTCTCCTCACTCAAGCCCTTGGCAACCACCATGCTGCTTTGCTTCCCTAAGTCTGACTATTTTAGATTATACATTTCTATGGTCTAAACATTTGTGCCTGCTCCTTGAATTCATATGTTGAATCCTCACCCCACAGGTGATGGTTTTAGGAGGTGGGGCCTTTGAGAGGTAATTAGATTATAAGAGCAAGGCCCTCAGTATTGGGATTTGTGCTCTTATAAGAGATCCTAGAAGCTAGCTAGTCCCTTCTACCACGTGAGGACACAATGACAATGTGCCATCTATAAATAGAAAGTAGACCCTCACAAGACATGGAAATGGCCTATGTCTTGATCTTTGACTTTCCAGCCTCCAAAACTCTGAGAAATATAAATTTATATTGTTTATAAGATACCTAGTCTATGATATTTTATTATAGCAGCCTGAACAGACTAAAACTCTCATGTAAGTAAGAGACAAATACTCTCTGTGCCTGGCTTACGTCACTTAACATAATGTCCTCTAGGCATTATGTTGTTGCAAATGATAGAATTTCCTTTTTTAAAAGGCTGAATAATATTCAATTGTAAGAATATATGACACTTTCTTAATCTATTCATCTATCAATGAACATTTAAGGTTGAATTATCTTGGATATGGTAAATAATTTTGCAATGAACATGGGAATGCAGATATTTCAAGATTCTTTCAATTCCTTTGAATATATACACAACATTGGGATTGCTGGGTCATACAGTTTTTCTAGCTTTAACTCCTTCATTAAACCCTGTATGTTTCCTCAGCATATTCCATTATGTTTTCCATAATGTCTTCACCAGTTTACATTCCCACCAACAATGTGTAAGGACTCTCTTTTGCCCACATTCTCACCAAATTTGTTGTCTCTCTCTCTCTCTTTTTTTTTTTTGTAAAATAATAGCCCATGTTAACAGTTGTGAGACGATAAATCACTGCAGTTTGATTTGGATTTTCCTGATCATTAGCAATGTTGAGCACTTCTTAATATATCTGTTACATATTTGTATGTCGTTTTTAGACAAATTACTCAGGTCTTTGCCCATTTTTGTTAAGGTTATTTGGTTTTTGTTTGGGTCTGTTTTGCTATTCAGTTGTATGAGTTTCTTATGTATTTTGTATAGTAACCCTTATCAGATAGATACGTGTTTTGCAAATCTTTACTTCCATAAGTTGCCTGTTCATTTTGTTGAATGTTTTGTTTCCTGGGCAGAAGCTTTTTATTTTGATATGATCCTACTTGTTTATTTTGGTTATATTGCCTGTGTTTCTGGTGTCATATAAAAAAAAATTGCCAAAACCAATGTCAAGGAGCTTTTCTTTTACATTGTGTTCTACTAGTTTTCTGGTTGCAGGCTTTATGTCTACATATTTATTCTACTTTTAGTTGATTTCTGTTTATGATGTAAGATAAGGGTCCAGTTTTAATGTTTTTGCACGTAGATATTCAGTTTTCTCAGCACACTTACCAAAGAACTATCGTTTCTCCATTGTGTATTCTTGGTATCTTTGTCCAAAATTAGTTGAATATATAAATGTAAGTTTATTTCTGGGTTTTTTATTGTTACATTGGTCTGTATGTCTGTTTTTGTGTCAGACTGTACTGTTTGTTTATTATGGCTTTGTAATATAATTTGAAATCAGGAAGTGTGATGCCTCCACCTTGGTTCTTCTTGCTCAATATCGCTTTGACTATTTGGGACTTTTGTAATACCATATGAATTTTAGAATTACTTTTACTTCTTCAATAAAAAATGTAATTGGAATTTTTATAGGGATCACATTTGTTTGGGAGAAGAGATTTCTTTCCTCATCCATTACTAGGTTCATGACTGAGATCCTTGTAACAAAAGGTAGATTAACAAGAGAAAAGCATAACAAATATATTTAATAAAAGTTTTATGTGACACAGGAGGCTTTGGAAAGGAACACCCAAGGTAACAGGGAGAACTATGTATTTTTGCAAACAGTCATGCAGAAGTATAATTAGAGAGCAAAATAATATGATCTAATGGTAACAAACTGAAGGGAACTCAGAAAGGCCTTTCTCTTAAGATTCTTCTTGGTGTTTCTATGCCTTCATTCCTTTTCTCCAGGTATAGGGAGGACCCCTCTAAAAAGACAGTCTTATGACCTACTTTAGAAAAGGGTTAAAGAATTCTTATGTGGCCAACTTCAGGGGGAAACAATGCAACAAGGTCAGAGAGACTTTTCTTCTTCATCTGTTTTTTCAGATGCCAAGGTGCCATGTTTTGGGGTAGCATGTCCTGAACCGTATTGCATTAGATCTCTAGGTTGCTTTGGGCAGTATGGACATTTCAACAATATTAATTCTCCCAACCCATGGACATAAGATATGTTTCCATTTATTTGTGTGTACTTTAATTTTTTCATCAGTGTTTTACAGCTTTCCATGCACAAGTCTTTTATCAACTTATTTAAATTTATGCCTAAGTATTTTATTCTTTTTGATACTATTATAAATGGGATTATTTTCTTAATTTTTTTCAGATAGTTCATTGTTAGGGTATAAAACATAACTGATTTTTGTATATTGATATTGTATTCTGAAACTTTATGGGATTTATCTATTCTAACAGTTTTTTGGTAGAGTCTTTTGGATTTTCTATTTATATGATTATGCCATCAGAAAACATATTTTCACTTCTTCATTTTTAATCTGGATGCCTTTCATTTATTTTTCTTGCCTAATTTCTATGACTGAGCTTCCAATACATGATAAATAAAAGTGGTAAGAGTAAGCATCCTTTCTCTTATTCCTGATCTTAGAGAAAAACCTTTCAGCTTTTCACCATTAATTATAATGTTAGCTGTGGGCTTGCCACTTAGGCACTTTGTTATGTTGAGGTACAACCCTTCTATACCTAATTTGTTGAGTTTTTATCATAAAAGGATGATTAATTTTGTCATATGTTTTTTTCTGCATCTGTTGAAATAATCATATGGTTTTGTCCTTCATTCCATTAATGTGATGTAGCACACTTATTGATTTGCATATGTCAAATCATCCTTGTATTCCCAGAATAAGTTGTGCTTGATCATGGTGTATAATCCTTCAAAGGTGATTTTGAATTTTGTTTGCTGTATTTTGTCAAAACATTTTGCATCTACGTTCATCAGGAATATTGGCCTGTAATTTCCTTTTCTTGTAGTGTTCTTTGCTAGCCTCAGAATGAATCTGGAACTGTTCCCTCCTCATTTTTTGGGAAAAGTTTGAGAAAGATTGACATTAATTCTTCTTTAAATGTTTGGTAGAATTCCTCAATGAAACCATCTGTCATGAGCTTTACTTTGGGGAAAATTTTTGATTACTGATGCAATCTTCTTACTTAATATTGTACTGTTTAGATTTTCTGTTTCTTCATTGTTTAGTTTTTGTACGTTGTATGTTTCTGGAAATTTTTCCACTTCTAGGTTATACAATGTGTTGGCACATAATTGTTCATAATAGTCTTACGATCTTTTTTTTTCCTGTGGTATCAGTTGTAATGTCTCCGCTTTAATTTATAATTATGTTCATTTGAGTCCTCTTTTTTTCTTAATCAAGCTTTCTTAATCTAGCTTAGTCAGCTTAATCTTTTCTTAGTAGTCTGGCCTTTTGGAGGAGCCTATGAGCTGGTTAGCAGGAATGACGGCAGGTTATTGAGAGCAAGGGACTGGCTGCTGTGCACTCCTTCGCTGTCACCTTGCTCCTAGATGTTCCTGATGATTCAGCAGTGCAAATCCCCTCAGTGTTCTGGGTGGGGAGAGACAAAAGTAGGTCTCCTAGGCAATATCCTGCAAGTCTGGGGAAGCAGAGTTATTGCATTTGTCTCACTTTCTCCTGTAGAAGTAACGGTGAGCCAAGTGGGCCTCTCGACACAGAGTTGTGCTGCCTTGAGGGAGGAATGATGCAGATAAAGTGAAGCTGATTCCTACCTTCTTAATGCGTCCACTCTTGGATTTTTTTTACTCCACTTAGGTGCTGGAACCTCAGGCAGACTCAAGCACTCTCACAGAGGTATTCTTGCCCATAAGTGGTTATAAAAATCAGTGTTTTTCATGGGACTGGGAGCTAGGATCTCCCATTTCACCATCTTGCTGATGTCACTCTCTGTCTCTGTTTTTAATCTTTTCTCCTAGTCAGCTACCAGTGTTCTAAATATATTAAGGATTATAAAATAACGCACTATAATAATGCACTGTATATTCCTGAGCCTGGTGGGTAATGCACATTTTCTCTATATGCTCTCCTTTTCTTCAAATAAAATTTTCACCCTTCTTTTTAAACACTCATGGCTGTATAGTTAATTCATTTTTATTTACATTTCAACATTCAGGTACCATGTTTTGTTTTAGAAAATATTTATTATGGAGTTTTATGTTTTGCAGAATTGAATCAGCAATGTGGATTCATCAGCAGGTAGCCCCCACCTCCTGGGATTTGATTGGCAGAAACATGTTTTCCTATGGAGTTCTGCCAATAGCATTTGTGTACAACAAGGAAGGCCAGGTCTCAGGAAGGGTCTGGGTTGGATGACATGACAGACACTTTGGCAGAGCTTTCATTATTTAGCACACTGTTATGAATTATTAATAAAACTCCATTGTCAGGATCTAGAAAAGTTAAAATGGTACTAGTGTGTCTTGCAAATGCTCAGGTTTAATATATTATTAATTAGATTGTAAAAGAATATAATATGCAAAGTGGGAAATGGTCAGCCAAGGCCAACTGTGGCAAACTTTACTTGATAATTTGCATGTTGTAATACCAGATGTGGAAAGTAATAGATTGGGAGTGGTTGGCCTTGCTACATAACAGAGAATTTCAGAAACACAAACTCTAAGAAAGCAACAGGTGTTAGTCTGACCTTCAGAATGATTTCATAAGGGGCTCTTTTTAAAAGATGTTATAGCAGACTGATATGCCAATGTGGACTTCTTATTTACTAACCATATTTTCTGATTTCTCTCATTTCTTCCTTTTAAGAGAAGACACAGAGTACCATTATATAAATTATATCTATATATATATACACACACACACACACATATACACACACACACACACACACACACACACACACACACACATATATATGACCTATCGTCATCCCAGGTCCACATCCATCCTTAAAATTATTATGCTCAATTTAAACTCATACCATTTCCCCTAAAATCATTTCATAGTCTCCTATCTTAATAATTGGATCCCTATGCATTCACTTTTGTGAATCTATGCTTTTAATTCTATGAAAATTTACTTCTATGAATTAGTTATCTCTGCCATCTCTGTTTCCTTTAAACTGTATATTTAATTCATTGCAAGTTTCTTTATAACTTTCTGGATCTCTAAATTTTATCCACTTCTCTTTATTTTCACTGCCTGAACCTTTGTCCAAGGTATTGTCCTCTCTCATCTCGACTGCTAAAATGCTTTCCATAATTTTCTCCCATATCTACTCTGCCATCCTGTTACTGAGTCTCCATCCTGCAGCAAAACCTATCTTATCAAAATGTGTCTCTGTTGATTTCATTTTCCTATTGATTTAAGCCATTTTCAAGGTTTCACATTGTGCTAAAGATAAAGTTTCAACAGGACCTAAGAGGCATGTATAATCTGATCAACTTCTGTGTCCTTGGTGTCAACTGGTACCACCTATGTCTTCCTTTACCGCCATGACGCCAGCTTTCATTCAGATCATGTCTTTCTTCAGTAAGAACATTGTTCCACAAGCTTCAGTACTGATTTAAAGAATTCTTTTCTCAGGAAAGTCTTTCCTTTAACTCAGTTTCCTTTCAATATTCCATAAAATTCATTGTTTTCACTGTTTTGTAAGTATAAATTCACCAGTGGTTATTTGATTAATGTTAGTCATTCCTAGTGGATCTAACTTGTTCACTGTTGTCCACTCAGGGCCCAGCAGAGCATGACTCATGTTAGAGAATCAGAAGTATTTGTTGAGCAAATAAATGTATAAATGATTAAATAAATAAATAACTGTTTGGAAGATAATTCAAAGTCCCAACACATAAGAGACTATTTAAATAAGGTTATATACGTTTTATGCCAAGATTTTAAAATAGCATATTACATTAAGAAATTAGTGCCACCTTACAAATCTTAACAATAAAGCATGCTAAATATTTGTTTTTTTTCCTGTCACGCTTGTATGCTAAGTTAAAAAATATGTAACACATTAGATAAGTAGAATATCAATGCCATTTTATAAATTTCAAATTAATAAAGGGGAATAAATGCTAGTTTCATTTGCCATGTCTTATACAAGAACATTTTTAGTTTCTCTGTTCTTAGCATTTTAAAGAAATGTTATTTACTTATGTATTTTTGCTTTTTTGGTACCTAAAAACCTAGACAACTACATGTTGCATGCTTTACTCTTTTTCATTTACTTGATATTTTTGCACTTTTATCAGGCCATCCAAGATACCAGTTCAAACAATCCTTCCACTTTTGTCTATAGTGTGAAATTTGGCTTTTTACATACCAAGTAAATTACTGATGGCTTAGTTATTTTTACCATGAATAGCTTATAACAGAAACTTTTGGAATAATTATACTTCTTGTTTCCTTTGCAATAGTTTTTGACCCATGTGCTTGCAAGGGCCTATACATTAAAATACTGACACATGCAATTCAACACTTATTTATAATATGTCACTTAGTGGAATGTAAAATTAGGCAAGAAACTTGCTAGATGGTAATATGTTGATAGGAGAGAATGGCCAATTGTCTAAACAGAAAGATTTTTCAGGTTGGCTGGTACTTTATTGTATTTACCATGTTCTAGATCTAGAACCATCCAGTAGAACTTTCTGCAATGATACAATTATTCTAGTCTTTGTTATCTAAAAACAAGCACGAGTCAAACACTTGGAATGGGTTTGACTAGAGAGCTACATTTAAAAATTGTTTGATTTACATTAATTTAAACTTAACCACATATAATAGCCAGAGTGCATATCTAGTCATTAATCTTGCAGCATCAAAAAACGAGTTTTTGTAGATTTACCAACATTGTTTATGAAGCTAGCCTGACTGCTATCTGGTAGTTTGGCAGTATTCAAGCATCAATAGTTAGCAAGTGCTGAAAAAGAGAAATAACCAGGAAGTTTACTCACTTTGTGGCCATACAATCAAGGCTGAAGGTCTGTGGAGACTGGGAAAGCCTACATGACTCTAGCCCTTAATCAGTTAAATAAGAAAGCTTACCCCAAATCAGCATAAGTAAAGGAGTGTGTTGAAGAACCAAGCATATCATGGTGTAACATGCGAAGTGAGCCTACACGCAAAGTGACCCTTGGCAAGACAATGTAACATATGATTGTGTCGTTAGAAAATATAGGGAAAAATTCAGCTCCCCTGATTCCACTACAAACAAAAGAACTTTGTGAGACAAAGCCAGGATATCATTGAGAAAGGGAATGGGCTGGGACCAAGATTGTTAAGTAGGTATAATAATTTGCTAATTTGCAAATGATGAAGAAGGTCTAATATCAGCATAACTACATAACTTCATTTATTTTCTAAGGAACTAAAAATATACTTAGTAAGTCAAATTATTAATAACCACTACTACCTTTTGGTTATTCTTTTCAGAGTTCAAGCCATAATAACACTAAGCATCTTTTAAACTTTTGCTGTAGCCAAAACTCTTATAAGTTCCTTAAATTTTATCTTAATTAACTTCAAAATAATACTAGATATAGTTATTATTTAAAGTTTACAGAGAAAACAATAGAAACAAAAAGGCAGTGACTTCCTAAGCCAAACCTTAAGGAAGAGTTACAGGCAACATTTCAGTCTAGGCTGTTTGCTTCCAGAGCTGCTGTTCTTAACTACTATTAGATTCCTCCTTCATTATGACATAATTTTTATTTAATGTTTCCACTTCTAGGACAGTGTCTGTTACAGAGTAAGTATACAATAAATTGTTCTTAAACCTGTCAAAGTCTTAAAAGAATATGTTAAATCACAAAATGACATTTTAAAGATAGAATCCTACCAATTATAAAAAATGGAAGTATTAAAGAGGTTCTCCCACCATGCTTTTTTTGAAGAACTAGGGTCTCACTCTTTTGCCCAGGCTGGAGTACGGTGGCAAGATCACATAGTTCACTGCAACCTTGAACTCCTGGCCTCAAGTGATCCTTCTGCCTCAGCCTCCCTAGTCACTGGGATTTCAAGTGTGAGTCACTCCACTTTGCTCTCGTCTCCATTTTTTAAGAACAAAGCATTTGACTTGAAAAACATGAGCTTTGGCTATACAAAATGATAACAATATCAGCCAGTATATTTTACTGAGTAAAACCTATGTACCAGACCTAAAGTCCCTCATACATTTTTTAAGCCAACAGCTGATTCTATAAGGTGTTATTATTCCCAATTTTCCTGTTGAAGAAATTGAATCAGATGAAAATTAAAGTGGTTTTCCCAAATCAAAAAGCTAGTTAGTGAAAAGAGTCTTGATTCAGCTGCTATGAATTGGAGTCCAGAGCTTGTTCTTGGACTGACCTGCCATATTTTCACAACTATGCATATAAATGTGAAAACATTTGGACATATCTATTCTAAATACTCATTTTTGGCTGAATGTCTAATTATTTAGGATTTCTTTGCATGTAGTCCTTTTTTATCATCTTCAAAATCCCTCTTTCCTACTACTCCATGCTTTCTAAAATACCTCTCCATGGAAGCCCTTCATAGTTAACCTATGCTCTCTTCACTATAAATTCTCCCTTCTCTCACCTGCCACAAACATCATGAATTTATAACATCTTTGATCCTCTGTGATCTCAAATACCACATATTGGAAATCACATCTGATAAGAAAATGAAGGCCACAGTTCATTGTTTTGCCCGAGATCACACAGCTATTTAAGAATAAAAGTTAGACTAAAATATATTCCTGTAATTCCCATACTTGGATTGTTTCTCACATGATATTTTACCTAAATATATCTTGTTCTTTTTTTTTGGTCAGCACATATTTTTTAATTAACAAATAAATTATAATTATCATTAGATTATCTTTTTCCTTCATATTTCTAGTCTTCGCTTTTAAATTCTCCCCCCAAAAATATACATTCAGTGCATAAAACTCAGGGTTCAGTATAGTGTTGTAAGGTCATATAGACTGCTTAGCATATAAAAAGACAGGAATTTTGACATAATTTTTAGTGTAGAACTTCACCATGGAGATCAAAGACTTGTACTTATGACATTTTTGCAACTTAGATTTTTAAAAATAAATTATAATATATTTCACTGTTTTTTAAATCAAAAATAGTTTTCTTCCAGATAGAAAATTCTTTAAGTTTTTTTTTTTTCTGAGTTCTCTCCCAGCACCCGTTTAAAATCTATGGGAACATTTCTATCATGTTATACTAGTGGACTAAATCTGAATATATACCCAAAGTAATTTCAGGGAAAAAATTGTATCCCTAAGGCAGCAGTATGCAACACAGGCCTGTCAACTATTTTTTCACTGATTTTATCTCCCACTGATTGTTGAAATTTCAAAGGAAACAACTGAAGGTCAGTCGATCTGGTATATAGTGGCCAGTTCTAGCTACAATTTCTATGAGATTTGAATCTGCTACATGATAGTTACCTACATCACACTAATGTACTTCCTTCATAGAAACAATACTTTCCTGGGTTAATAAATGATGTCTGTGGATCAAATAAACTCAATCCGAATAACTTAATCAGACTGTTAGTGACTACAAGGGAGAATCCTCATAGGTTTTTCTCTTTAAAATTTTAATAGGCTTTAGAGCCGTTCTAGATTCATAGATAAATTTTATAAACTTTTCTAGAGGAATGCAGTTCTTACCATAAATAAGATGAAAAGCTAATTGCTTTTCCCTATCTCACTGTTTATTCCTTAACTGTCATAAGCCAAAATTCCAAATTACAGATTATCAAAAGTATATATTTCAACACATGCCAATAGCTAATTACTGAAATGATCTCATGATCTTATATATGGTGGAAATTATATTCTTCTAGTATAAATTTTAACTAAATGAAAAGAAAAATCAGAAAAAGCAGAAAATTAGACTTTATTTTCTTAAATTCCCCCCACCCAAAACAGACAATGCCATATTGTCAAACACAACTAAATGCTCTGGATTTAGACTCAGATTTATTTCTATTACAAGAAAGTATCTTATTTCATCACAAAATTCACAAAAAACCCTTTCAAACAAGTTAAAATATATTCATTGGATTTTCAATAGTTCTCTAAAAGTCGGACTTCTTTCCATCTTTATCTCTGCTTCTTTCTGTATGTTGACCTCGTTATTTCTGATTGGTATCTTAAAGTACCTGGAAGTATGGCTACTAACAGTTCAATTCTTTTTTTTTTTTTTTTTTTTTTTTGAGAGGGAGTTTCGCTCTGTCGCCCAGGCTGGAGTGCAGTGGCGCGATCTCGACTCACTGCAAGCTCCGTCTCCCGGGTTCACGCCATTCTCCTGCCTCAGCCTCCCGTGTAGCTGGGACTACAGGCGTGCGCCACCATGCCCGGCTAATTTTTGTATTTTTAGTAGAGACGGGGTTTCACCGTGTTAGCCAAGATGGTCTCGATCTCCTGACCTCGTGATCCGCCCGTCTCGGCCTCCCAAAGTGCTGGGATTACAGGCGTGAGCCACTGCGCCCGGCCAACAGTTCAATTCTTAAAAGCTTCATCACCAGAAAGAAAACAATTCTCTATCAACAGCTCAAATAATACAATATTGAGAACAAACACCAACTGCCAATAATGGTTTGTGTGCTTCACAGAGGTGGACTAAACAATGGCCAGAAGAAGAGTTCTGTGACTGACTGGCTGTAGTCATTAATAGACAGAGTTTATTCATTGAGTCATGAATAGATAGAATCTATTCACTGAGTCCAAGGTGACAGCCAGGGAGGTAGGCTCATGTAAAAAGACGGCCATTCCCATTTGAATATTTGATAGGGGAAAGGAAAGCAAATTGTAGTAAAACACAGCCATCTCAGGGACAATCAGAGAAACAGAACACTAATTCAACTTATATCCATAGTATTTTGTAAGAATGTAAAGTAATTGTCTTCTCCTTCCTGGCAATTTGTTTTATTATACCTATGAATATGCCAACATGGAGAGGATGTATTGCTTTTACTGAAGTTTGCTTATACTTCACACTACACAACAAACTGATGTGGGTTTTAACTAAATCTATATATTAAATTAGGTTGCCCAGTTGTGTACGTTTGAACATCCAGCATATTGGTTTTCCCCATCTCACTGCTTAGTCTTTAAAACTCCCCACCTCCAGCCTGTTTCATGTGCATTTTTAGGAATGCCCCATGGATATTCTTAACCAACTGCCATAGTATTCTACATACAGGCAGCATAATTTAGCTTTCTTTCCTCCAGTGATCTGTTAATGGATTATTTTTACTGAAATCCATATAAAGTACCATTTTTCTTCTGCACAGTGGAATAAAAGAGTAAACAGAAAATCAAAATAAATTCATGATTTTGACTGTATTCTTTACACCATTCCCATAGAGATCTAAGTAGCCCCAGGGAGGATATATTGAGCAAGGAAATGAATAAAACGTTAAGTGTTCAAAAAGAACTCTTAGATTTAGAGAGCCTCTAGTCTTCATTTTTTCTGGACAAAAGCATGTCAATCAAAACTTCTTTGGTGTTAAATGAAGCAACTTTTCTCTTCTCTGGTCCTGTATCTACCATGGTCTCCAGTGTTCTACCTTTTCATGTGGATTATGAGTGGACAAAAGTTAATCAAATGGTCTTCACTTAATTTCACAGATAGGTTATTGGAATCTGCAATTTTTTCTTCTCATCAACGTTGTAACTAGATGACATTAAACAAGAGGATATTCTATCCTTTCACTTAATGTCTCAGTTTTCATGAGCCTATCAACAATGTAAAGTGAGAACTTTTTGTACTTTTAAAGCTGGAAGAATGAATTTAAAAATCTCACTACATTTGAAGAAAAATTCCATTTTCCACTTAGGTAATCCCTAGTGAAGTTCTCTAGTTAGTCTCCAGCTGGCTTGTTTTGACAAGGAAGGGCTACCCATTAGGCTGTAGGTGATGTTAGATCCCTCAATTGAGTTAAATTCTTTCATCTTGCTTTGGAACTGCTTCAGATGAAAGGCTGCATATGGAATGCAAAGAAAAAATGCAACTCCACTGATATATTTTGATAACTTAGGAGGAAATTAAAAGTCCCTGAAATGAAGACAAATGTGGTCATTTTGACCAAATCTACACAGGCTGAGTGACATAAAGAATTGTGACAATTCTTTGCATCATTTAAGTAAAAATGTTTTTCTTTTGTAGCTTTTAAATTCTATTTTCAAAGGCCATTTAATGACATGGGAAATATTGTAGTTTTTGAAATGAAAAGAATAATGTTAAAACTCTATTAGTTTGATTCCAATTTTCAGAGATATACAGAAGCACAAATAAAGATGAGAAGAAAAATCCACCAACATGTCACTGGTTATTGTTAGGGGACAAATTTAAGAATGATTTCCATTTTATTTTTGTAATTGCCTGTATCTTTCTAAATATCCTGTAGTATAATGGCTAAAAGCTTGGGCATAAAGTCTCAATTATCCAAGATGTAAGATTGATAAGTTCTAGATATCTGCTATACAACATTATCCCTATAGTTAACAAAACTATATTGTATATATAAAATTTTGTTAAGAGGGTAGTTCTTAGGTTTAGTGTGCTTACCACAATAAAATAAAATTTATTAAAAAATAACCTAGGCTATAGAGTTAGAAGGACTGTGTTTGAATTCTAATTCAGCCTCTTACTAGTTAGACGATATTGAAGTTGCATTTTCCTCATTTTTAGAATGGCAGTATTACTAGAAACATTCAGGGCTGTGAGAAAATGAAATAGTGTAAATAAAGCACTTAATGTTACATAGTAAGCTCGGTAAATGTTAGCTATTTGGCTATTTGGGTTGTAATTGTTGATTAAAAAACAGTTATTTTTCAAATTTTTTTTTGCTTAGTAATAAACATATATATTGTCAAATCTAAAATCATGGTGACTTTAATCTCTGGGAAATTATGGTATTTAATATTTATTAAGTTCCAAGAATGCTGCTAAAAGCTCCACTGAATACAAGACTTCCATTCCTGTATGAAAGAAACGTGTAGCTGGGACTTTAGATTGAGCTGGTGATAGTAAGATTTTTTAAAATCAATCACTATAAAAAGAATATTCGATTGAAAGCCGTTTTACAAGGAGCAAAATGCCCTATGAAGATGGTGTACACTGTTCTCATTTGTTTCAGAAGGGAGAAAAACATGTCACTCACATTTCCAGAAGGACATGAGGTAGCTTGACAGTCTTTTATATAATTAATTCCAGATTTGCAAGGCACAATGTCTTAAAGATGGAAATGGGAAAAGTTAGAGATAACCTGTGTTTTGGAGCTGTAAATGATTCATACTAACACACATCTAACCTGGCCAAGGCCTGGATGACTTATAACATTGTGAGTCTGAAAATGGCTGGGGAGAAAATATTAATCCTTTTTGGTAGTTCATATTCCAAAGTATCCCTTTTGCTATGTTTGGATTTCAGTTTCTAATACTTAAATAGGATTGTGGCAAACAGTTGTGCTTATTAACATTTTTCAAATCTTAAATCTTTTTTCTGTGAAAAATAAACATGTTCCTCATACGCTGTATTCCTTGTGGAAATTTGGCAAGAGAATTGCTACTTTTAAATATCTTTGATTAAAGATTTTAAGTAGATGATATTGCTCTGTGATTTTTCCCTCATACACTGCAATTATGTAATATTGACTAGAGACAAATATTTATCTGACATTGGGTCAAATATCATGAACAAGTGAAAATGACTTGGTAATTCACTGTCTTGGTTAATTCCCTGTTACATTGCTGGTTAAACAGTTGCTATCTTTTTTTACAATGCAATAAATACCAAATTGACCAGATGTGTTGTTTTACTTTACCCTCGCATTGCTGGATTATTAGATAAATGTTGTGAGCTGTAAAACTGTGCCTGAAAAAAAGGCTGTGTCCAGCTATTTTGGTCAAAGTAATCTATTCATTACTTCTTGTCTTTTGATACTCATTGTAATTTTTGTGGAAAGCTGGGCATGATGTACTGGATAAAAGGAACTTCAGCAAACAGGCCTTTAGTGGTGTGGTGGTAAAAGGGAAAGTGTTCTCTGGACCTGAGATTAGGTCTCAGTCTGTGCCCCTGGGCTGTGAAACTCCACAAAGTGCTTCTGAGTTTTTCTCCTCCTTAGGTGGGACAGGATGGTTAGAGTGGGCCAGAGTTGGGTGTCCCCTGTCTCAGCTCACAGTGGGTTAGACTCTGATAATACTCCAATAGGCTATGCTCTGGTAAAATAGTTTCTTTTGAGGGCAGGACTTATTAAGAAGAGCAGAAGGTTCTGGAATATTTAAACACACATACATCTGCCCTTTTCCTGCCAGAAACAGGAGGAGATTTTTCTCCCATCTTCAACTATAAGAACCTGGTAGAGCTCATGAAGGTAAAGCTCACAAAAGTGTGGGTGTGCCCTGCCCACTAGGACTGGCCCTCCCTGTGGTTTTTAACTCTCAGACTTGTCAAGCCTGAGCTTCTAGCAATTTGTGAGTTACAGGTTAGGTTTTTCTTTCCCAGTGCTGGGTTCCCACAGAGGTTTCTGCTTAAGGCTTTCCACTCCAATCAGTTGTGATTCTTGTACGTGCCTTACTGTTTCTCCAGTTTGGGGCACAGCAGCTTGCCCTATGACCTCACTTCTCTCACGGATCTAAGAAGAGTTGTTTTTTTCAGTTTGTTCAGTTCTTTCCTTGTTGCTTGGATGGAATGATGACCTGTAAGCTCCTTGCATGCTGCACTGGAAACCAGAAGTCTATAGTCATTATTTTTAAAAATTGAAAAAATACATATACATGTTAAAAGAGTCAAATGAGGCTGTAAAGCTTATAGTAAAAACTAGCAGTTCTCTCTTCCATCCTCCTGCCTCTGAACTCTCTAGATTTTCAATTCCCTTAGAAAACAATTTTTTGCTCTTTAAAATGTTTCTTCTTGACTTTAACTCCATTCTTCTGAATTATTCACTTAGAATGCTATTTTTAGTTTTAAAATTTAGATTATACCTGTTAAATTTTTAGTATTAAAGACACTATTGGCTCTGGGAAATGTGCAGATTTAGCTCTCAGAGCTTCAACACCACCACATTTTTAACTCCTACTCCCCACTCCTTAGGAGTCAATATAGTATAATCTAACTTGATTCAATGAATTATGTTTAGCTTATTGTAACTTTGCATACATATACATCTGAGCAGGGTATGTAGGGAGCTATAATTGTATTTTATAATTTTGACAAAATTTTTCTCTTCCAGGGTTAAAAAGTTGCTTTATTTTTACTTCTTTAATGATTTACTAAGTTTCTATTCAAATGTTTGTTTTTCAAACTCTGTAACAGAATTGTGCATGTGATCTGAACGTGAACAAACATGGCAATTTTATTATTTTATTATAAAAAGCATGTGTAGGCCCCTCTTTACTACTGCAGCAAGGCAAGCTGATTTACCCTGTTTACTGGCTAACACAACTGACATCATCATGGATATTCTCTTGATCCATGCCATCTTCTTTTATTTACAAGTGTTCTTGGGTCTATGTGTGCAGTTCTTGCTCATTACTCTGAACCATGGTGACCGTGGAATGTTCATTCCCATTTAAAATGAAGCATACAGAGATGACTAGAAGTTCTATTAATACATGAGAGTTTGACTTTTGAATGTCAGACTTTATAGTAATTAGATAAGACTCAGCTGCTTTTTGGCTGACTACCAAATTTTAATCTCTGTGTTTGTTTTCCGCCCTTTGGCCCACTTTCTCTGACAGCCAGCATTCTGAGAGACAAGTGGTAGAAGATACCTGGGGGTCTCACTATTTTACATTTCTACGTTAATGTAAGCACTGTTTCCAGTAAAGTGAATTCATTGCCTTTTTCACGTTTGCCTTTCCCATGTCTTATGTCTTGGCGTTTCTTCTTCTAGTGAGTTGTTTACCTGACTTTATTTTTTCATCTCCCTTTGATTTGAAATTATCCAAATAACTTGATTTT
The DNA here is from genome assembly GCF_000001405.40 of Homo sapiens. Classification (NCBI taxonomy): domain Eukaryota; kingdom Metazoa; phylum Chordata; class Mammalia; order Primates; family Hominidae; genus Homo; species Homo sapiens. Next base: position 52,500,388 of record NC_000002.12, on the reverse strand, counting down.
TTTTTCTTTATTTTTCCTTCTTTTCTTTCTCTTTATTTCTAAATGTATTTCTTTCTTTTTTTGGTCATCAAATAGTTAAAAATCCAAGACAAATTGAAGTCATTAGTTGGCTTGAAAATATCTCAGAGTAAAAGAAATTTAGGCTGGTACGTTATTCAAAAGCAACAATATCAGTAAAATATCTAAGAATTCTCCTTTGAAAAATAATGTAACCTCTATTAATGTAGCAATTCAATTTTAGCTTCCTAATTACCTTTAATTCTAAAAGTGGTGAAGTGCCTAAAGCTTCAAGGATTAAAAATGCTGTAATTGTATATTTTTAAAAAATACAATAATTAACTTTTAACTTATTGATGCATTTTTATGACAGAGCCACTTTATTTAACATCCAGAATATATTTAGAATCTTTTCTTCTCAAACAAAAACCAATATTTTATTATAAATAAATGACTTGTTTTATTTTAACTTTTAGTTAATGCTCTCAGTTTATAACACTGAAATAAAATTCTCACTGAATGATTTAAGAGGTTAACTTTATATTTTAATTCACTTGGAATTTGAAATATTTGATTACTTTTTTTAAAGAACAACCACATTTTATTATCATTATTTTTGGGCTTATAAAAGCCTGAATGTCAATGAAGATGCTATTATTATTAAAGAAGCAAGCCGCTTCTTTAAGAAAATTTCAGTGGTTCTCAGACTCAGTCTTGTCATTGGAAACTAAGATAATATTCCCCAGTTAGGAGAAAGTGCCATTAAAGTAAAAGTTTCTGATTGCAATTTTCCTTAGTAAAATTTCAGGAAAGAAACATTTTTTTGGCACTCATAATCTCCTAGGATTGTGGGTTTCTGTCCACTCTTCCTTAGACCCAATTCCTTTATGTGCCCAGTAGGTCTTTAATTTCAAAATACGTGGTATCCACACCCTGGTAACTATCAGCTGTTGCCAATTCCTCCTTAGAAGCTTTCCTTGTATAATCCCTTCTTTTCCATTCCTCTCTCCTTGCCTTATTTTCATTGCTCATCATGAGACTGCTCACCTTACTTGCTGATTCTATTCTTGTCCTCTCCAAATCAATTCCACATTTGCTTGCTATGGAATCTTCTTAATAAAATCTTATTAAATTTACTCTCTTAAGAAGAATACAATTTCTTATGTCATTCTTAATACATTCCATGTTAAGCATAAATTCCCTAGCACTACTTGAGATATCTTTCTTCCATTATAGCTATGTTGATGTTCCCATGATTCTTCCAAACCTTACCCAAGTGTCAGCTCCCAGACAATTTATATTTCTTGCATAGGTTTTTGTTGTTGTTTACAGTTTAATCCGTAATCAATGTTCTCACTCTGAGCTATCAATAGAAAAAATTTCAGGTAATATCTGAAAAACATACACTTTATTTATTCCCTCCATCCTCCCCTCCCTCCCTCCCTCCTTCCCTCCCTCCCTTCCTTCCTACTCCCTTCTTTATATTTCTAACTTTTGTCTCTCCATCGTTATCATTCCAACTGTACTCATGCTACACAATAGTAGATTGGCAATATTATTATATCCTATTTTCTGTTGATACTAATTTTCTCTCTTTGTCTTTTAGCGATTAAACTTCCTGAGTTTGGGCTGAACACATGGTGTATTAATTTATTCTTGCATTGCTATAAAGGACTACCAGAGACTGGGTAATTTATAAAGAAAAGAGGTTTAATTGGCTCACAGCTCTGAAGGCTGTACTGGAAGCATGCCTGGGAAGGTCTCAGGAAACTCACAATCAAGACAGAAGGTAAAGGGGAAGCAGGCACATCTTAGGGCTAGAACAGGAGGAAGTGAGAGCACAGGGAGGTGCAACACACTTTAAAACAACCAGATCTTGTGAGAACTCATTATCATTAGAACAGCAAGGGGGAAGTCCACCCTCATGGTCCATTCACCTCGCACCAGGCCTTTTCTCCAACATTGGTGATTATAATTTGTCATGAAATTTGGGCAAGGACAGATATCCAAACCATGTTGTTCTACCCTTGGCCCCTCCCAAAACTCATGCCCTACTCATATTGTAGGATACAATAATCCTTTCTCAACAGTCCCCCAAGCATTGACTCATGTCATCATTAACTCAAAAGTCCACAGTCCAAAGTCTCATCTGTGACAAGGCAAATGCCTTCTACCTGTGAGACTGTAAAATAAAAAAAAAGTTAGTTACTTCCAAGATGCAATGGAGGTACAGCCGTTGGCTAAATACTCCTGTTCCAAAAAGGAGAAGTCGGCCACAACAAAGGGGCTTCAGTCCCAATGCAAGTTCAAAACCCAGCAGGGCAGTCATTAAATCTTAAAGCTCCAAAATAATCTCCTTTGGCTCCTTGTCTCACATCCAGGTAACACTGATGCAAGAGGTGGGCTCCGAAGGCATTGGGAAGCTCTGCCCCTGTGCATATCCCATTGGTGTAACCCCTGCAATTCCTTTCACAGGCTGGCGTTGAGTGCCTGTGGCTTTTCTAAGACCATGGCACAAGCCGTTGGTGGATCTACCATTCGGGGGTCGGGAGGATGGTGGCCTTCTCCACATAGCTCCAGGCAGTTCCCTGGTAGGGACTTTGGGTGGGGGCTCCATCCCCACATTTTCCCTCTGCACTGCCCTAGTAGAGGTTCCCTGTGAGGGCTTTTCCTCTGCAGTAGACTTCTGCCTGGACACCAGTCATTTCCACACATCCTATGAAATCTAGGTGGAGCCTTCCAAGCCTCAGCTCTTGCCTTCTGTGCACCTGCAGGATTAACACAATGTGGAAACTGCCAAGGCTTTCCATTTGCACCCTCTGGACCAGGATCTTGAGGTGCATCTGTGTCCTTTTTAGCCACGGCTAGAGCTGGAGTGGCTGGGACACAGGAAGCAGTGTCCCAAAGTTGTCTAGGGCAGAGGGGTCCTGGGCCTAGCCCACACAATTATTCTTCTTTCCTAGGCCTCCAGGCCTGTGATGGGAAGGGCTGCTGTGAAGGTCTCTGAAAGGCCTTCAGAGATTTTTCCCATTGTCTTGGCTGTTAATGTTCAGCTGCTTTTTATTAATATTTATGCAAATTTCTGCAGCAGGCTTGAATAACTCCCCTGAAAATGGTTTTTTTCTTTACTACGACATGGCCAGGCTACACATTTTCTAACTGTTATGCTCTGCTTCCCTTTTAAATATAAGTTCCAGTTTCAGGTTATTTTTTGCTCACTAATACGACCATAGGTTCTTGCTACAAAAGGTGGATAAAAAGGTAATAACATTTGCATGTGGACACCAATTCCTTTAGGTCCTTTTGGATCCCAGGAATAGAGAGGCTTCTACTCATGAAAATAGATATTTAAAACTGACCTAACATAGGGCCAGTTGGCTTATGATGCAGCTTAGAAATTTTAACTTACAGAGTAGACATCTTCCTTTAATACTTTCAAAAAGGTAGAGATTGTGTCCTGGGAGAAATATATCTATATGGCTATTCAATTTTTTTTGTAGTCTCCAAGTATGTTGAAAATATATCCCCTATCCTTTTTTAAAATAATCGTTTCTATCTTCTCAAACATTTTGTGGTGAATTCCAATGAAGTTAGTGGCCTACGAATGATATATCTTGAATATCAAAGAATGTCAGACAGTTTCTTTGAGCTGGAGAATCCCACATTTTTGAATAAATATATCCTACTTTGTATCTTTTCATTAAGGGTCACTTGAGAATATTTATAAAACTATATTTGTAAATAATGTCCATTATTTCCAAATGTAATGTGATTTTTATTCTAAGCCACTTGGTTATAATGCTCTGAACATTCCCTTGGAATAGATTACAGTCCCACAAGATTGGAATACAGGGAATGGTCAATTCTGTCTCAATTTTCTAAGAAATTTTACTGAGGAAGCTATTTTCTTCTTTTTAACCAAGAGTGTTGTTGAGGTGAGAGAGTTAGGAGAAGCAGGAAAAGAGTCAAGCTAAAAATACTTAAATAATGAGACAAAGTCCAGAAGGAGACAAAATAATTGTAGATTTTTATTCATCCAGTAATAGTATCTTTAAAGGTTGTCATAAAGGAAGTTAATTAAAAAGAATAATCTATCAATGCAGAAAGAGCACAAAAGGAATTTAGAAATGTTATTTTAGAAGAATAGTAGTGCAATGTGAACTGGCAGGTGAAAATGTTATTTGTGTTGCCTAGTGGTGATTGCTGACCATACCTGGGGAACAACAATCATTTTTACTTCATGGCCCATCTGTATTAAGCATCCATGTTGGGACAAAGCCCAGGTTTTAATTTATTGATTATCACCAGGGAGATGAGACAAGTTAAAACAAAGTAGGACTGAATCAAAGAAAAAAAAATCACTATAGCACTTTACAAGACTTTGACCCCTGGATTCTAGTTCCAACTTTGCTACTTTACATAGAATGTGTCCTTAAGTAAGTAACTTCAGCTCTCTCTGTACTAATGCTTAACTTTAAAATAAATTACTGGTTTTAATAAAATCCTGAATAATTTCCAGCTTCAGTTGTTTAACATTGAATGTGTCTTGGCACAGGTTTTTCTATAATGTACCACCAGCAACTATGGTGATGACAGCTTTTGGAACATCCTTTCATTATTTCAAAAGGTAACCACGTTAGCTTCGTCTCATTACATCATAATTCCTTAGTGCTGGTTTAGCGTTTATATTTAGTCGGGATTTGTATGTACTCTGACTCAGATTATAGGTTAAATAATGTTAGGAATTAAAACAATCCCATCAATAAAAATATTCCTTCATATCAATAGAAGAGAGAGCAAAAACACAACATATTACTGTGTGAACATTAACATTTACATTATAAGGGAGTATTATGAATTTAGGACAAAATCCCACACATTTTATATAGCAAAGAAGAAGAAAGAGAAAATAATTCTCATATTCCCTTGATAAACCAAAAGCTACACTTCCTGTTCCCTGTATCTCATGGGGAACTCCAAAGCTGCTTTAAAAGATAAATTGTTTTTTCTTTTCTCTCTTTCTCTCTCTCTCTCTTTTTTTTTTTTTTTTACGGGGTCTAACTCTTTCGCCAGGCTGGAGTGCAATGGCCCGATCTCAGCTCACTGCACCCTCTAACTCCTGGGTTCAAGTGATTGTCCTGCCTCAGCGTTCCCAGTAGCTGGGATTACAGGCATGCACCACCGCACCTAGCTAATTTTTGTATTTTTAGTAGCGACCAGGTTTCACCATGTTGGCCAGAATGGTCTTGATCTCCTGATCTCATGATCCGCCCACCTTTGCCTCCCAAAGTGCTGGGATTACAGGCGTGAGCCACCAGGCCCGGCCGAGGTAAATTCTTATATATATCTACACAGTATTTTGCCCACCACTTTAGGGGTATCCCAACACTATAAAAACCAAAGATTAGGCTTAATCCTTGAAGAATTTACCTCAAATATACTGTTTCCAAGGAAATCCTCTGGAAAAAGAATGAGATAAATTGCTCTATTTGCCCTTTATAATGGACAAACTTATTTTTATTTTTACAGTAAATAATCGAATATGGTTTAATTACTTGAGCCTCAACAACAACAAAGAAGAACATAGGTTCCTGGCTTTTTTTGTTTGTTTTTTGAGACTGAAACTTTTGGGGAAACTCTGTGTATAGTCACATAGAATACAGTGCAAATAAAGTAATAACTTGACCCCAAACAGAAACTTCAATGTAGGAATCAGTTATCGTTATTGCATAATGGTGCCACTGGTTATGATTGTCTTTGTTTTGCCCTCTTAAGTTTATGTTAATTACATTTGCTCAAGACCTCCCAGATATTGACATTATACACAAATTGAAGGAAATTGCATTTTCTCCATTGTTGTAATTCAGGCTGTCTAATGGAAATAAAATGTAAGCTACATTTTGAATTTTTAATTTTCTAGCAGCTACAATATAGAAGAAAAAAAGAAACAGGTAAAATTAATTTTAATAATAGATTTTATTTAATCTGACATATCTAAAATATTGCCATTTCAGCATGTAACCAATATAAAAATTACTGAGCTATTTTACTTTTTATTAACCAAGTTTTTATAATCTGGTGTGTGTTACACTGTCAGCACATCTCACTTCGTAGCATTCATGTTTGAAATACTCAATAGCCACTTGTGGCTAGAGGTTAGTATATTGAACAATGCAGTTCTATCCAAATAAATAAATAAAAACATGTGATGCCTGTTCTTTGCAAGGGTGGTACACATATGATTTTATCCTGTGATTTTTAAGTTATATGCCTATGGGATTACTTTTTTTCAATTTCTATTGTGGTTTGTGGGTAATAATTACAAACACCCCTTCTTAGCCCCCTGTGTTCCAAATCAATTGAGAACATGACACAAATTGTATATAATGTAGGTTAAAATACCAGCTTCAACTAAAAAAGAAAAAAAGCTGCATTGAGTGATGTGGTTTAAATCTGTGTCTAAACTATATTTCTTAATGTAGTTCCTTAGCTTTAATTTTGGGACTGCTGCCTGCATTGGGATGTGTAGAGAATAGTGAATGCCTACCCAAGCATGTTTCCATTAGAGGGGCTGGGTAAACTGAGGGCTGCAGGGAAGCAGAACCAGAAAGAGCCTTTTTGCATCCTCAACAATCAAATAACTTTTTCTCTCCTTTTGGAGGAAGAGATTTTGGAAAATAATTTTCTAATATTATTTCACCTTGGATAACAAAATGGACAAGGAAGTAGTAAAGTAGTCCAAAATTTTCAAAGGGAATTAGATTTTAATTATACTAAAGAATATTAAGTAACATGTAGTAGGAGGATGTACACTAAAAAGCTTTTAACTAGAATTATGGGTGATTTTATTTGCAGTACTAAGCAGAACATGCAGATTTATGTTAGAAAGAGGTATGGTAAAAAGCATTTAACTAAAATTATGGGTGAGTTTATTTGATGTTTTGCCATACCATGCCAATTAAAAGAAGCAAACAAACAAACAAGCATGCACATAGCCTATCTTTCTTACCTGAGTTTCTGTGTTACCCATAGCACTCAGGAAATCCATCAGAATTTGACTAATTAGACTCTGAAAATAAGTGCCATGGCTAGATATATGCAGCTGGTGTGACTTACATATTGTTGACTACAACTCAGTGAAAAATGACTGACATTTAATGCCCAAGAGCAGGAAAGTGGCCAAATCTAAGCTTATTTATTTTTTGTTTGTTTATGCTGAACAATCATTGACAAGTTGGGATGACTTAACAAATATTCTCCCATTTTGCCTCCTTATATAGTTTTCTATGTTTTAAAAGCAGCCTTCCAAATATGTCTGACTTTCCTCCTACATCGTAGTAAATAATTTTCAAATCCAATCACTAATAAATCTGAAGTGGAAGGAAATAACATGGATTTGTTTACTATTTACTCTTTTCTCTTAGTTTCTAAGCTTTTCTGTTTTTAAAATAATTAAAAATTTTTAGTATGCCAAAAAAACAAAAAATAGGACCTGACGTCACTGAAGTCCAAAGTTGTCTGTTTTGAAAGATCATGAACAATTTAAGTATTGGAAAACTATAGTTTCCAATATTTCAATATCTTTGGAACACACTATTAGAGCCCTGCAAACCTGAAGCAGTGAGTTCTGAGAGAGGAAGGTGGTCCCAGAGACCATGGAAATATGCTTTGTGATGACAGAATTCTTGTAAGGGTTGACTTTGTCAGAATCATGTATTTGATTATGCAGTACCCTTAATTTATATTTTTTTACTATCTCTACTGATTATTTCACACTTATTCAAAATCATTTGTTAGCATTTTCCCTGCAATCTAAATAAAAATATAGGTTGAGATATATGGCTAAGTCTGAAATAAAGGCATAGACCTCTCTAAAACTGAAAAAAATACAGTAATGGTTGGCCAAGATGACTGGTTAGAAGCAACTGCAGTCCGCAGGCTGCTGTCTTTGCTATTTCAGAGGCTTCACTGGTGATACCTCCAGGTACAGGAGGGACCAAGGCAACTAGAGTCTGGAGCAGACCCCCAGCAAACTGCAGCAGTCCTATGGAAGAGTGGCCTGACTGTTAAAAACAAACAAAAAGCAATAATAACATTGACAAAAAGGACCCCACAAAAACCCCATTCAAAGGTCAGCTACCACAGAGATCAAAGATAGATAAGCCCACAAAAATGAGAAAAAGTGAATGCAAAATCACTAAAAACTGAAAAAGCCAGAGTGTCTCTTCTCCTCCAAATGGCCACAACACCTCTCCAGCAAGGGTACAGAACTGTGCTGAGGCTGAGATGGCTGAACTGACAAAAGTAGGCTTCAGAAAGTGGGTAATAATAAACTTTCCTGAGCTAAAGGAGCATGTTCTAACCCAATACAAAGATGTTAACAATCATAATAAAACAATACAGGAACTGATAACCAGAATAGCCAGTTTAGAGAAGAGCATAACTGACTGCATGGAGCTGAAAAACACAACACAAGAACTTCACAATGCAATCACAAATATCAATAGCAGATTAGACCAAGCAGAGGAGAAAACCTCAGAGCTTGAAGACTATCTTTCTGAAATAAAACATGCAGAAAAGAATAAAAAGGAAGAAATAAAATCTCTGAGAAATACGGCATAATGTAAAAAGACAACACCTACAACTGACTAGGGTACATGAAAGAGATGGGGAGAACAAAACCAATTTGGAAAACATACCTCAGGATATCATCCAGGAGAACTTCCCCAACCTAGAAAGACAGGCCAACATTCAAATTCAGGAAATCCAGAGAACCCCAGTAAGATAGTCCATGAGAAGATCAACCCCAAGGCACATAACCCTCAGATTCTCCAAGGTTGAAATGAAGAAAAAATGTTAGGGGCAGCCAAGAGAGAAAGGCCAGGTCACTGACAAATGGAAGCCTTTTGGGCTAACAGCAGACTTTTCAGCAGAAACCCTACAAGCCAGAAGAGAGTGGGGGCCAATGTTCAACATTCTTCAAGAAAAGAATTTCCAACCCAGAATTTCATATCCAACCCAACTAAGCTTCATAAGTGTAGGAGAAATAAGATCCTTTTCAGACAAGCAAATGCTGAAGAAATGTGTCACCACCAGGCCTGGCTTGCAAGAGTTACTGAAGGAAGCACTAAATATGGAAAGTAAAAACTGTTACGAGCCACTACAAAAACACATGTAAGCACACAGACCAGTGACACTATGAAGCAACCACATAAACAAGTCTGCAAAATAACCAGCTAGCATCATGATGACAGAACCAAATTTACACATAACAATATTAACCTTAAATGTAAATGGGCTAAATGTCCCAATTAAAAAACGCAGAATGGCAAGCTGGATAAAGAGTCAAGAACCTTTGGTATGCTGTCTTCAAAAGATCCATCTCACATTCAAAGACACATATAGGCTCAAAATAAAGGGTTGGAGGAAAATTTACCAAACAAGTGGAAAACAGAAAAAAGCAGGAGTTGCAATCTTAGTTTCTGACAAAACAGACTTTAAACCAACAAAGATAAAAAAAGACAAACAAGGGCATTACCTAATGGTAAAGGATTGAATTCAACAAGAAGAGCTAACTATTTTAAATATATATTCAAACAACACAGGAGCACCCAGATTCATAAAGCAAGATCTTGGAGACCTACAAAGATATTTAGACTCCCACACAATAATAGTGGGAGACTTTAACACCCCGCTGACAATATTAGACAGATCATTGAGACAGAAAATTAACAAAGATATTCAGGACTTAAACTCAGCTCTGGATCAAGTGGACCTGATAGACACTTACAGAAATCTCTACCCAAAACAACAGAATATACATTCTTCTCAGTGCCACATGTGACTTATGCCAAAATTAATTACATAATCTGAAGTAAAACACCAGTCAGCAAATGCAAAAGAACTGAAATTATAATAGTCTCTCAGACAGTAGCACAATCAAATTAGAACTCAATATTAAGAAATTCACTCAAAACCACACAACTGCATGAAAATTGAACATCCAACCTGCTTCTGAATGACTCCTGAGTAAATAATGAAATTAAGGCCAAAATCAAGATGTTCTTTGAAACTAATAAGAATAAAGAGAAAACATACCAGAATCTCTGGGATGCAGCTAAAGCAGTGTTAAGAGGGAAATTTATAGCACTAAATGCCTTCATCAAAAAGCTAGAAAGATCTGAAATCAGTAACCTAACATCACAACTAAAGGAACTAGAGAGCCAAGAGCAAACAAACCCCAGAGCTAGCAGAAGACAAGAAATAGCCAAGATCATAGTGGAACTGAAGGATATAGAAACACAAAAACCCCTTGTTTTTAATAAATGAATCCTGGAGTTGGCTTTTTGAAAAAAAAAAATAATAAAATAGATAGACTGCTAGCTAGACTAATAAAGAAGAAAAGAGAGAAGAATCAAATAGACACAATAAGAAATGATAAGGGGAATATTACCACTGACCCCACAGAAATACAAACAACCATCAGAGAATACTATAAACACATCTATGCACATAAACTAGAACATCTAAAAGAAATGGATAAATTTCTGGAAGCATACACTCTCCCAAGACTGAACCTACGAAGAAATTGAAACCCTGAATAGACCAATAATGAGTTCTGAAATTCAGGCAGTAATAAATAGCCTACCAACGAAAATAAAGCCCAGGAACAGATGGATTCACAGCTATATTCTACCAGAGGTATAAAGAAGAGGTGGTACCTTGTCTACTTAAGCAATTCCAAACAATCAAAAAGGAGAGACTCCTCCCTAACTCATTTTAGGAAGCCAGCATCATCCTGATATCAAAACTTGGCAGAAATACAACAAAAAAGAAAACTTCAGGCCAATATCCCTGATGAACATCGATGAAAAATCCTTAATAAAATACTGGCAGACTGAATCCAGCAACACATCAAATCTTATCTACCATAATCAATTTGGCTTCATCCCCAGGATGCAAAGTTGGTTTAATATATACAAATCAGGAAACATAATCCATCACATAAAAAGAAAGAAAGACAAAATGAATATGACTATCTCAGTTGATACAGAAAAGGCCTTCAATAAAATTCAACATCCCTTCATGCTAAAAACTCTCAATAAACTAGGTATTGAAACAAACCTCAAAATGATAAGAGCCATATATGACAAACCCACAGCCAATATCATACTGAATGGGCAAAGCTGGAAGCATTCCCCTTGAAAACTGGCACTAGAAGAGGATACCCTCTCTCACCACTCCTGTTCAACATAGTAATGGAAGTTCTGTCCAGGGAAATTAGGCAACAGAAAGAAATAAAGCGTATGCAAATAGGAGAAGAGGGAGTCAAATTATCTTAATTTGTAGATGACATGATGCTGTATCTAGAAAACCCCATCATCTCACCCTTAAGCTGATAAGCAACTACAGCAAAGAGTCAGGATACAAAATCAGTGTGCAAAAATTGTTAGCATTCCTATATACCAATAACAGGCAAGTAGAGAGGCAAATCGTAAATGCATTACCATTCACAACTGCTACAAATAGAATAGAATACCTAGGAATACAGCTAACCGGGGATGTGAAGGACCTCTTTAAAGATAACTACAAACCAATACTCAAGGAAATCAGAGAGGACACAAACAAATGGAAAAATATTTCATGCTCATGGATAGAATAAATATTGTGAAAATGCCCATACTGCCCAAAATGATTTATAGATTTGATGCTATTCCTATTAAACTGCCATTGACATTCTTGACAGAATGAGAAAAAACTATTTCAAAATTCATATGAGAACAGAAAAAAAACAAATAGCCAAGACAATCCTAAGCAAAAAAAAAAAAAAAAAAAAAAAAAAAAGCTGGAGGCATCACACTACCTGACTTCAAACTATACTATAAGGCTACAGTGGCCAAAATAGTGTGGTACTGGTACAAAAACAAACACATATACCAATGGAACAGAATAGAGAACTCGTAAACAAGACTGCACACCTACAACCATCTGAACTTCAACAAGCCTGACAAAAGCAAGCAACGAGGAAAAGACTCCCTACTTAATAAGGACTCCTTATTAATAAATAGGCTAGCGATATGCAGAAAATTAAAACTGGACCCCTTCCTTACACTTTATAGAAAAAATAAGATAGAAGAAAGACTTAAATATAAAACTCAAAACTATAAAAGCTGTAGAAGAAAATCTAGGCAATACCATTCAGGACATAGGCATGGGCGAAGATTTCATGGCAAAAATGCTAAAAGGAATTGCAACACAAACAAAAATTGACAAATGCAATCTAATTAAACTGAAGACCTGCACAGCAAAAAATACAAAACCACACAATTACATGAAAATTGAACTATCATAAGAGTGAACAGACAACCTACAGAACTGGAGAAAATTTTCGCAATCTATCCATCTGAAAAAAGTTTAATATCCAGCATCTACAAGAAACTTAAACAAAATATACAAGGAAAAAACAAATCCCATTAAGAAGTGGGCAAAGGACATGAACAGACACTTCTTAAAAGAAGACATTCTTGTGGCCAACAAACATAAGCTCAACATCACTTATCATTAGATAAATCCAAATCAAAACCACAATGAGATACCATCTCACACCAGTCAGAATGGCAGTTATTAAAATGTCAAGAAACAACAGATGCTGATGATGTTGCAGAGGAAAATGTAGGCTTTTAACCTGTTGGTGGGAGTGTGAATTAATTTGACTATCACGGAAGACAGTGTGGTGATTCCTCAAATATCTAGAAATACCATTTGGCCCAGCGATCCTGTTACAGGGTATATACACAAAGGAATGTAAGTTATTATATAATGCAGATACATGTCTGTGTATGTTCAATGCGGCACTATTCACAATAGCAAAGACATGGAATCAATCCACATGATCATCAATGATAGGCTGAATAAATAAAATGTGGTACACATATGCCATGGAATACTACACAGCCATGAAAGTGAATGTGATCATGTCCTTTGCGGGGACATGGATGGAGGTGGAAGCCATTATTGTCAGCAAACTAATGCAGGAACAGATGACGAGAACACAGAGATACATGGCGAGGAAGAACATACACTGGGGCCTGTCAGGAAGCAAAGGGAGAACATCAAGAATAACTAATAGTTAATAGCCATAATACCGACGTGATGAGATGATCTGTGCAGCAAACCCTGGCACACATTTACTGATGCAACAAACCTGCACACCCTGCCCATGTAACCCAGAACTTAAAATAAAAGCTGGACAAAAAAGGCAAAAACAACAACAACAACAACAACAACCAACCAAACAAACAAAAAACAACAAAAACATAGTGGTTTTCCAAGAGAGAGGATCAATTTGGGTCTCAAAGAGCTGAGAGGAAACCAGTCTTCTCTCACCACTCAATACTGATTTGCTTGTGTGAGCACTGCATTGATTTTGTCTTTCCAGTAATGGACATCACTATGAAACTTATAAAATATTTGGATAGAGTTCATAAAAATACCAATTTATTTTAACAGCCATTTTTTGCATTCCTACTATGTGACATGCACTTCCAGAGTCGCTGGTGATATGAATATAAAATATCTCATTCTGACTCCAACGGTCTTAAATTATGTCCAATAGACTACAATAAATATGTGAGCAAAATATTATGTCAATACAATGAGGGAGGATATTCCTCTAACAAAATATCTCCAGAAACAGTCTTTGGAAACTTGCAATATGAAAAAAATTTTGCGTTTTTAGTGGGGCACAGATAGACTGCTGTTCAGAGCTAATCTCTGGAAAGAAAAATACCCATAGGAGTTTTCAGACAATCCCTCATATAATTTGCCCAAATATCTAATTAATTTAATCAAAAACATCTATTCCCATATATTCTTTGAAATGATATAGACAAAGCTTAAATACCTCATAAACTCAGTGTCCTAGAAAATTACCTAATGCGTGACAAATCAATAAAAAACCTATTTCAATATTTGGCATTATGTACAAAAAGTACCTCTGATTTTTAGACTGGTTGATTGAGATAGGGGAAGGGTACTAGGGAGGGGAGTAGAGAGTTGAGGGCAGAGTGAAACAGAATCCTTCTGTTTAATGGTGTCATCTGACTGTGGGCCAGGCTGCTAATACAGCACTCTCAAGTAGAGGAATAAGGATGACGGAATTATTAAGGATGATGGAATTAACACATATTGAAAGGATATTATAAGACAGAATTTACATTACACCTGTTCAGAATTATGGTACAGGTAATAAGGGGCAAAACAGTTCTTTGCTGTTTCTATTGTGATACAGTTACTGAAGAAAAATTTACAGTAGAAAATCATTTACAAAGAACTAACTATTAAAATGTGAAAGATAAACTAAATGTGCTGAGTAATTTTTTTTTAGACAGTTTTATCTCAGCTCACTGTGACCTCTGTCTCCCGGGTTCAAGCATTTCTCCTGCATCAGCCTCCCAAGTAGCTGAGATTATAGGCACCCATCACCACACCTAGATAATTTTTGTATTTGTTAGTAGAGAGGGAGTTTCACCATGTTGGCCAGGCTAGTCTCGAACTCCTGACCTCAGGTGATTCACCCACCTCAGCCTCCCAAAGTGCTGGGATTACAGGTGTGAGATACCATACCCTGCCCTGAGTAATTTTTTATACTTTTCCTCTACTTTTAATTATTTTCATGGTATCCCTGCCTGTATCACAGTAGAATGAAACTCTTCAAGCAGAACTTAATATAGGTATACTGGATTACACATTCAAAAATGTGTTTTTAGCCAAAACTGGTTGCAGATACTGAATGTTAGGTCTTCATGTTCATTTGAGAACAAATTACTTACAAAAGCATTAACTCGTTTTTGCAAGAATTACTGTACTTTAATTCTTACCAATATATGACTCCAGAAATATCTTTAATGTCACAGTGTATTTAATTTTTGCTTCCTTGCTCTTTCGTTACACACAAGTACACCTACACATAAAATGAGACCCTCATAGCAGTAGCCAGCTCACATTAAATGTGCATTATTATGAACAGTGCTTATTGCTCACCTCATATGGGAAAAATTATCTTAACTGCTGGATTGTGGGTAGTTTTTAAACATTTGCAACTTACTTAAACAAGATTATTTTCATTGCTCCCTTAATTTTTCTGAGTGGAAGGGAATCAAACCATACATAAGCTAATTTCTTTTACACATAGTTTAAGACTTTGTAACCTTAGGTTAAAGGGTATCTGAACTTCCTCTCTGGAAAAGTTCAGAGCCTTGGTGGCATGGCTGGGGAGGTCTTAGGGGCTTGAAAAACTATAGAAACCAAGATAAATTATTGAAAATTTCATAATTCCATCAGTTTGCCCAAAACCTTTGAAGTCCTAAATCCTAGTGTAATTTCCCTCAAACCCTCTATCCAATCTCTGTTGACATCTCCACAAGTCCCATTATTATTGCGTGATTTGATAATGAATTTTCCTGACCTCCCACAGTCTCTCTTTTCTCACAGCATGCTCATCTTCTAATATAATATAATTGACTTACTTTTTAATCAGCCATTGTTTCCCCTTTGCTGCTAGCAGGTAAGCTTTATCAAGACAGGAACATTTTTGTTTTGTTTTCTGTTTTATTTGAAGTTCCTAGAACCATGCTCAATTCATAGTGGTGCTCCATAAATATTTATTGATAGACAAAATGAAGCTGACAGTTGACCAAAGACATAAATGTGATAAGGGAATAAATCATGAGGATATCTACTGAGAACGTGTTCCAGAAGGAGGGAACGGAAAGTGCAGAAAGGGAAGACAGGAGTCATAAACAGCAAAGATGCCAGTGTAGCTAGAAAGAATGAGTAAGGCAAAAATAATAGAAAAGCAAATCAATGATGGAGCCTAAATTTGAAGCCAAACAGTGTGGCTTAGAGTGTGTGCTCTTAACTCTTAAATTTCGATCGATATCCAACTCTCTCCTTTATTTGCTATATTAATTGGAGCAAGGTTCATGAATACACTCAAGCTCAGTACTCTCAGTAGGATAGAGGTAATTACCTCATAAAAATATCATAAGAGGTGAAGTGTTGTAGTGTAAAGCACCTTGCCAGTGTATTAATAAATATTGGACTCCTTTTCACCATGCCCATCTCATTATTTGTTGGGTGCACAGCAGCGGTTTGGATCAGAGAAGAACTCTAAAAAATACTTCAAAAATATATCTGCTACTAGTCCCCACCTCTAAACCTGAGAACCACTAGCATATGTAACCTACCAAGCTATGTCAAATAATACTCTGAAAGATTTTGAGGAAAGAATAAATTATCAAATAAACTCATGTCAAAAACAGCTGGCACTCATCCAATTGTCTAATCAGGGAATTACCCAGGGATGGACAACAAATTTTGAGTAATGACTTGAGTAGTCCTCCAGATAGTTGAGTTTCCTATTTAAGAAGAGTCTGTGGTGAGAGATAAGGACCCAGGGCAAAGATAATCCTAATTACAATCCTAGACAGGGGACCTCCACTTTATACTGGAAGGTCAATGCCAGTTGTATTCCTTGTGCCTCTCTTCAACTCATGTGGAAGAAGTCAGTAAACATTTGCTTACAGCGTTGGAGATTAACCTTTCTAGGTAGAGTACGGAGACTCAACATCAAGTAAAATTTAAAGGATTAGAGGCCTTTGATATGAAATTTCTTACTTCCAATAACCCAGCATATTTTCAAATTATAATAATAATCCATATTGTGGTCAGCATGAAAGATATTTAGAGAATCACATTTCTATATTTTTTACAAATTTAGTGATTCACCACTATCTTGAATATATGTCTGTGTGTAAGTCTCGATCTCCAATTAGAAAGCAGACTCATTAAACACAGTGAATTTCCTGCCAAAGACACTCATCCTTCCCACCCCTAACACACTGGCATCACCAATCGCCCTTCTAGATATGTTAAAGAAACTTACTATTTAATTGGGTCTCTGCAAGGAAAAATAATTTCCTGGTTTAGATGAATATCCTAAAGAAGAGGAGTGCATTCAGGGAATAACAATCAGGGCTGACATCCATCAGGCTTAGGAGGTGCTATTTTGCAAGCCCACAATATACTTAGGAGTCTTTGAAAGTGTTTCCATTTCTTTTTAGTTTTTTCAGAAAAACTGAAGGTTTATATTGAAGAAAATGCTTTAAAATATGGTATTCATATATTCTATATATTAATGTGATTATAAATACAGGAAGGAGTACATGAAGGCAGATATGCCACTGTATGTCACAGTGTGACTCTGAACTCAATATATGTTCTATGTTTAGAATAGAAACATTGCCAAGGGTTCTAGTATAGCTTTGCCATGGCCATCTTTTTAAAATATAACTTACTTCTATTAAAGCTCATCAAAAAGGCAGGCAGCCATACACGGAGGAGGCAGAGTTAGATTGGCACAGAAACCATCGGCACAGGGAACCAGAGACCCTTTTATCGCAGTTGGGGCCCTGCCTTCTTTAGGCCTATGAGTCTGAACCACAGCTCTGCCCCATCTCTTCTGCGTTTATACTGGACTTGGCAGCCTGGCTCTCATAATGCTGAGTTTTTAACTTCAATTTGCTGCCTTTACTTCACTCCAACTTGTATTTTCAAGTTATAAATCTGATCTTTAGGCTGGAAATCAAAACCTAAATTCTCAGAAATTCCTTTTTAGAGCCGTTCTGTAGTATTTAACATATGTCCCTAGATTAACCACCAAGCCATATCGGCTTTTCAGGAATGGGTCATGCTTCAAGTCCTGGTACTGAATATGAAAGAAAGTATTGTCCGTCACAACTGGTGCAATTCTAACTATAAAACAAACTACATCTTTGCTAAGCTCTCCAAAGTTCACGATATTTCTATTCAGCCTTAATCAGGGGAAAGCTTAGGATTGGTGTTATTTCAATTTACTAATTTTTAATTATTATTCCCTAATCCCAGCCTTTGCTCTACAGTAGGTCAATAAAGTTGAATATATAGTATTAGCTTAAAATATATTTTTAATTTTTAATTTTTGTGGGTACATTGTAGGTGTGTATATTTATGGGGTATGTGAGATGTTTTGATACCGGCATGCAATGTGTAATAATCACATCGTGGAAGATGGGGTATCAATGCCCCCCAAGCATTTATCCTTTGTATTACAAACATGCCAATTATACTCTTTTAGTTATTTTAAAATGTACAATTAAATTATGACGGACTATAGTCACCCTGTTTTGCTATCAAATAACTAGGACTTATTTATTCATTCTATTTTTTTTGTGCACATTAACCATCCCTACCTCCTCCTCAAGCTCTCAATATCCTTCTCAGTCTCTGGTAACCATCCTTCTACCCTCTGCCTCTATGGGTTAATATATTTTTTTTTGTAATGGGCATAAGAAATCAGTCCTGAAAAGGTTAATTCTACGAGGTAGGCTTATTTTATTTTATTCCTTCATTGTTGATTCATTAATTTAGTCAGGTATTTAGTCAACAAATAATACTTTATATATTCCATGCCAAGTATGACTTCTTTAGTTTTATTTATTTTGTACTACTTTTGTCTTATAATTAAAGTATTGCTTTGCTCTGAATGACTAATATTTTATGTCAAACTTTATATTAAACATACTTGATAAGCAAAAAAGAAACTTAAGTTTATATCACTCTGAGGAGGGGACTTCTGTGGATTTGATGGATGTTGTTAATCAGACCCATTGGTTTTAATGCATAAGTCTTTCCCTGTTTCCCTGGCTTTGAGATAGGAAATCTGTAATGATCTATACTGCTGGATCAACATTAAGCCAGTGGGTCAGTGCCTACAAGTGGGAATTCAGAGAAGAAAATTCAAGGTAATAAAGATAAGTCAGACAAATAGAAGGTAAAAATTAGATAAGTTGAGCATTTTTCATTTATTTTAAGATGTATATATATTTAAGGCACGCAAAGAGAGGATAACAGTTAATAAATATACTTTTTTTATCATAAGATACGATATGAAACCTTTGTGTTTGCCATGGAAGAGGAAGAAAGGGCTGGAAGATTTTCTAGGGGCTTTTCACAACCTCAGTCTGGAGTTGACATACTACTTCTGTTGACATTTTTCTAGCCAGTATTTGTCACCTGACCTATTGTTTTCTGGGGCTGGAGAGTGTATCATTCTTATATCTAGGGTAAGATTGTCAGATTTAGCAAAACATACGCAGATCATCAAGCTGAATTTGAATTTCATATAAACAACAATAAGTCACCTACACTAAAAATTGTCCATTGTTTATCTGAAATTTAAATTTAACTGGGCATCTTTTTTCTTACCTAACAACCCTCCCATGAAAGAAAGGGGCCTTAATGAGCCTTGGTAATGGTTATTTCAATTCTGTAATCAAATGCTTTCAGACATTTTCTTTTGTCTGGGGAAAATATTTTTTCCCCCCCTGGGGGATTTCTTCTGGCAACCCTCAAATTTACCACCTTGGCCCTGTCTTGGGTCATTGAAAAAACTGTTTACTAACTTTATTTCCTAAATTCTGTTCTTTTCTAATAGCACTTTTATATAAAAAAGCATGGCTTGCAAACTGGAATTACAGCTACCTATAAGGTGGTAGAAAAAAATTTAGCTGCTAAAGTGTATCCTGAGGAGTTTGTAGGTACCTGTTGACTTTTGTTGAAGGGCAGAGTTTGACTCTGGGAAATAGTACAACTTGCCCCTGAGGCTATATTCCATGAACAGAGCAAAGTTTAGAATGCATGAGCAACTTTAAAGACACACCAGAACAGAAGCAGTAGTTCAGGGAATTGAACTTTTAGAGACTAGCTTAAAAAGTTGGTCCAAAGAGATATGCGTGAATGTGAATTTTAGGAGAAATGATTTAAGGATGGAGGAAGAAATGTCTGGGGAGAAGTAGGTGAGAGGACAGGTCAGGCATTCAAGAAAGTGCATACTAAGACCATTTTTGTGGTTTGGGGGAGGATTAGTTCCTAAGCTTCTATAATTAGATGAGAGACAAAATGAATATAAAAGCAAAGGTATAAGTGCTTAATAGTTATTAGCCCTTAATTACTTGTATTGATTCCAAGACAGATTTTTTTCCCCACACTCAAACCTTTCCTAAATTCAGGTGTATCTTAAAATCTATGAAGTCTTAAAATTGTCTGCTGCCAGGTGGTAGTTGTGACTTAGTGGTCTATAAACTTTCCTTTGACACCTTTTGTAATATCAAGTAATTGCACCAACATGTCTATTATAAGAAAAACAATTGCATTGATAAACCAAACATTACTAAATAGCTTGCAAAAAATATGGTAGTGCAGAGGGAGGAAGTAAAAAATAAAATTCTTACATGTTAGTCCTAGCAATGACCACAAGCATATTTACATAATGATCTCCTCTTACCCCCATCTCAAAATTCCCACTCATTTGGGGAGAGTGCAAGTGAGCAGTGCAATGGGTTTGGAGCCAAGAATACCTGAAATATCAGATCTTGAATAACTGAACACAATAGACCGAATGTTTATGTCCCCTAAATATTCATATGTTCAAACCTAATCCCTAGTGTGATGGTATTTGAAGGTGTGGCCTTTGGAAGGTCATTAGGTCATGAGGGTTACTGAAAGGATTAGTGCTTTTACAAAAGATACCACAGAGAGCGCCTCATTTCTTCTGCCAAGAGTGGACACAAGAAGACTGTTATATTAGTCTGTTCTCACACTGCTATGAAGAAATATCCAAGACTGAGTAATTTATAAAGAAAAGATGTTTAATTGACTCATAGTTCTGCATAGCCCAGAAACCTCAGGGAACTTACAATCATGGTGGAAGGTGAAGGGGAAGAAAGGTACCTTCTTCACAGGGCAGCAGAAAGGAGAAGTGCTGAGCAAAGGGTGAAAAGTCCCTGATAAAACCATCAGATCTCATGAGAACTCATTCACTAACACGAGAACAGCATCGGGGTAATGTCCTCATGATTCAATTACCTCCCACTGGGTCCCTTTCATGACACTTGGGGATTATGGGAACTAAAATTCAAGATGAGATTTGGGTGGGGACACAGCTATATCATATCAACTGCCATCTATGAACCCTCACCAAAATCTGACTGTCCTGGCTCCCTGATCTCAGACTTCCAGCCTCCAGAACTGTGAAAAATAAATGTCTGTCATTTATAAGCCTCCTAGTGGATGGTATTTTGTTATAGCAGCCCGAATGAACTAAGACTGAGAGTTGAATCTGTTTTGTTTTGTGCTTCAGTCACTATTTGCCTATTTCAATTAAAGAAAAGTACATAGTTTACTTATTGTAATAGCAATAGTTTTGGCAGTAAACATTTTTGAGGAAATTAGGGAAAGGGTTATCATGCAATATTAATGGAGTAATACAAAGAAAGTGCCAAGAATGTGGTCTGTCACAACATTAATAAATGTTATTATTACTTGATTTATTTATTGCATTACCATCATTTTAATATAATGGCTTTTCTAATTAAGCTCATAGAATCAACATGAATAGTTACTTTATTTCTTTTTCTCCCAACTCTACCAATCTGCTCAAGCCCCTAGACAAATTCTTCTAGTCACTACTATTGATTATTCTTCTTGCACATCTTCCTCTTTTTCCTTTTGTCAAGCACATTTTGATACTCCTTACTTAACTAGGTTCTAATTACAATTTGAGTGGAATCCAAATTTCACAATTTCTGGGTATCCATCTTGAGGGTTCCCCAGAGATCTATCTCTGCCTCCTCAAACTCATTTGACACATTGTCTAGACAGCTTTAAATTCTAGCTCCATGTATTCCTAACTGAAGAACTTCATTTCCTTCATCCGTGCAATGGCAATAATAATTATACTTATTTCGAAAAGTTGTGAAGATTAAATGATAAGAGTGTTTGATACTTAAATACTAATTCTTGCCATAATTCTCAGTGCCAGATATTGTCAACTCTTGGCAAATTTATGTACCTTCTACCCAATTGTATTTTTAATTCCTTAAATACAGCAAATATAGTCTATATGGGTCCCAGCACCATGCTTGTTATTTAATGTATTAAGCTAACACTTAGATATGCTAATCTAGGGATTTAAAATGCATGGCATGGGAATACTATGCAGCCTTAAAAAAGGGTGAGTTCATGTCCTTTGCAGGGACATGGATGAAGCTGGAAACCATCATTCTGAGCAAACTATCAGAAGGACAGAAAACCAAACACCACATGTTCTCTCTCATAGGTGGGAATTGAACAATGAGAACACTTGGACACAGGGTGGAGAACATCACACACCTGGGCCTGTTGTGGGGTGGGGGACTGGGGGAGGGATAGCATTAGGATCAATACCTAATGTTAATGACGAGTTGATGGGTGCAGCAAACCAACAGGGCGCACGTATACCTATGTAACAAACCTGCATGTTGTGCACATGTACCCTAGGACTTAAAGTATAATAATAATAATAATAAAATAAAAAATAAAATGCATGACATGATCTGGGAACCTGGTGGTAATGGAACTCTTCTGTATCTTAAAAGCATCAATGTCAATATCTTGGTTATGATATTGTACTATAATTTTATAAAATGTTATCACTGAGTAAGCTGGTAAGAGATACACAAGATTTCTCCAGATGATTTCTTGCAACTGTATTTAAATCCACAATTATCTCCAAATAAATTTTAATTTAAAAATATATTGCATGTTAACCATAGTCGTTTGTTCTGTGATGGTGTCTTTTGTTTTTATTTTATACAAATTGAGGGGTTATAAATAAAATTACCTTTAGTAAAATAAACTAAAAATAATAAAGGAAAATTATTTAAGTACTGATCCATGTAAGTACATTTGCCTCTTTTTGTAAACTCCTAAACCATTTAACTCATCTAAAATTGTTGGGCACTTGGGAGTTGTATATACTCAGTGGTTCCTGTTAGAGTTTGTGAGTTTAAATTTTCACTTCCTTTGCCAATTTAATGCCTTATTTGCTATTGCTGGCTCCTCTCCTCAGGAGTGGTTTCACCTTCCCAAGCATTTTGTCACCTCGCACACAACCCATCTGTGTTGTTCTAGGCCAATTGTAGCAGAAGAGAGCTATGCCAAGCCCTCTGTGGATTCAGGCACCTTCCCTTGCCCTTGAGCACCTGAGCCTTCTGGAAATGTCTTTATCTTTTGTTTTTTCTAAATGAAATACAAAATAGCTTTAATCTTGCAGTGCCAATGTGAACAAAAGAAGCCAAAGTGATTAGAAGCTGCATTTTACCAGGATCTCAACTGTCACTTCAGATAGCCTGTGTGGAAGACACTAACTGAAGCTTGAACATGAGCGATGCATCTCTGGGGCTGCTGTGTCCATGAGATGAAGGCAGGTGTTACAATCTCAACTCAAATCTTATGTCATTTCTGGTATCATCCTATTTTATTACTTGAAGTGTGCATCTACAACTCCAGGATAAATGTGATCACTCATTAGCGAATGCTCTATGTATTTGGACATATATGCAGTCACTGGGGGTTTTATAATGTAACTTTGAGTTCAAGTATTTTACTAAAAGTTGTTGTGCTCACAATAAATTTGGACAGGATTGCTAGCTGTCATCTGTGGAGAATAGTATTTCTATTTATAATAATAATAATAATACCAAGTATCAAGAGGGACAGAAAACACTGCCATCTACCATCTATTTTGGAAGCATTTTTATCCATAGAATGTTTCAAATTGATGCAGTAGCCTGGCTTTCTGAAGTTGTTCCCTACTAGAGTTTTAAAAAAATAGAGAAAAGAAACTGAAAAAAAAAAAAAAAAAAAAGGAAGAGGAAGGATGTCAACCTCTCTCATTTCTACCTCAACAACCCTCACCATTGGAAGGATAAAGTGTAACACTCTTTCCACACTCTTCACATTGCAAACTACAGGGTACCTCTCTGTCGCTTATTTTCTTTCTCATTGAACTGTGTGTTATGCTTCACTTAAATAAACTTAGATAAAATAAGATATGTGACTGGGTGCAAAATTTGAATTGCCCAAGGCTGTTCATTCTTTAGGTGACCTGGATAATGGCAAGAATATTGGCGTGGACATGTATGTGCATATATAATGCACAGAAAGAGGTCTGAGAGGATGCACTCAACAAGATAACATACATTGGAAGTGAGGAAGTCAAGCTGGTTAGGAAGGTTAAAAAGTATTTTAGTTTCCTTTGTAAGAAAAAAGTAATGATGTAATGTAGGAAAAATAAAGTGAAAAATGTTTCAAAGGCAGTCTTGCTCTGATGTATTGTGCTTGTTCCGAGTCTGTGAGTGGACAATACCAGAATGTGCTTCTATAGAAACGTGCACTTGGAAAATACTAATGATACAGCTAATGGATCACCTTCCCTACTTCCCCGTCAAATCACAGACCCTATCAATGACTTCAGGTCTGCTTGCAGATATTTAGACAAATTAGTTGATAAAGGTAATTGATAAGAGCCATTTAATTTTCTCTTTGGAGAAAACTAAAGTGTTTTATGGTGACCTCTGTCTTTCTGTTTGGTTAATTCTGCTGTGGTTTCAAAACTGAATAGAATGCATCTATAAATACATCAGTAAACACCACTGTAACTTAACTACCTCTATGGTAGTCAGCACTTCTACTATTACATCATAGCAAAATGACTAGAAAGTTGTCCAAGAGTCAAGAACAGCTGTGGTTGTTATTACATAATTGCCTGTAAACATGTTATTTTATTTTAACAGTTTCTGAATCCTTCCCGAAATAACATGAAGTGACTGGGGATAGAGAGAGAAAGCAGAAATTCAGAAATTTAAGCTCATCAATTTAGCTTTTTAAAATGTGGAAAATAGCAGAAATATATATATATATGCATTTCATAATTTTCTGACTCATATTTTCTTATGTTTTGCAAATGTTGTAGCCATTTTAATTTGCCTGTGATGCAAGACCATCCAAAATACTCTGATGAAAGTATTAAATAAGATAACTTTAAAAGTTACCTTGATTGTTCAGGTGTTTGGGCCATTTATTTAAATATAACTATGATAATTAGAATGGAGGCATGTCAAGAAAAATATTATGCTTTTTAAAACTGTTTATATTTTGTTGCTGTTATTTCCTTTTCAAATACCTGAAATGAGTCTCAAAGAAAGGCCAGGTGGTTAAAGCTCATATACCGTATTCAGAGGGAAGAGGGAGGTGGGGGAAATATAGATAAATTTGAGATGTTGTAAATAATTTTTAGGAGAATTGAATGGGCCCAAAGAGCAGGCAATAGTTTGTAAATTACTGTCTTTGGAAGCTGAATGACACCAACAAGTTATAGAAAGGTGAGGGGTGAAATTGCACTGTGAACAAAGCTTGTCTTCTTCTGCAGATAAAGTCTCTTCAGAAATGATTCGGAGCTGTCCTCAGAAGAATAGATAAAAAGTATCTCTGGGTGTGGTGACAACTTTTAGTTTCTTCTCTACTCAGGGGTTTATCTTTCCTGATTATTATTATTTTTAAAATTTTATCTTTCCATAACTTATTGGGGTACAGATGGTATTTGGTGACCTGAATAAGTTCTTTAGTGGAGTTTTGTGAGAGCCTGGTGCACCCATCACTCAAGCAGTATACACTGTACCATATTTGTTTTCTTTTATCCCTCACCCTCATCCAACTCTTCCCCCCAAGTTCCCAAAGTCTATTGTATTATTCTTATGGCTTTGCATCCTCATAGCTTAGCTCCCACATATCAGTGAGATGAGATTCCTAGAGAGGAGATTGTTTAAGACAATTGCATTTCTTTTGTAAGTTGCCATCAGAGAAGGGAATTTCCAGAGCAAACCTCTCCCTGCCCTTGTAGAGGATGAAGAGGGAGAAACATGAGAAGATTAGAAAGTCCTTGGTTCTAGAGTCCACTAACCCTGAGTTGGTGGCGTGGTGGTCACTGGGCTGGTGTCACTGGCCACTGCACAGTGCTCTCTGTTCACTCCTCACATCCCTACTCTTGACTCCCATGCAGGCTGTGAGGCTGTCCCAGGCCAGGATGAGGAGAGCTTTCTATACTTCACCTACAGCAGCAACCTCAGTGGCATTCTTCTGCATGGCCTACCTGCAGGATTTTAAGCTTGACTTTGGCAATTCCCAAGGCCAAACTAGTCAAACTTGGCATGCAGGCAAGGAAAAGTTAATAGTGAAACAGCTTTTGTAATAGAAGATAAAGTTTTTACTCAACAAGGAAGAGAAATAACCTGTCAAAATTACCTGAGGAGAAAGTACGAGAGTGCATCTCCATCACTACAGTATAAAAAGGTTGTTTGCCTGGGTACAAAAGAAGAGTTTGCCACTGGAGTATCAAAAGTAGTTAAAAGCAATAGAATGAAATGACCATATTGATATAATAGAACCATATTGATATAAAAGAAAGGTCTCAGAACAAATTAAAGACATTATCAAAAAGGGGGAATACAAACTCATTAGAACATAACAGAATATATCTAAGGTTGTTCTATTTGCTAATATAAAATATTTTCAACACTTGAGAACAAGGATCTGGGTTTTCTCCACGTTTGATCCATTTTCAACAATACTCTGAAGGAATATCTCACTTGGGTGATTCCTTGTTTACAGAGTATAAAAAGAGACTGGGTTAGGAGTTAGACCATTTAAAAGGGGGTTATGAAGCTCTGGAATGTGTGACAAATGGCTGTGAGTGCCCCTTGTGTAAACACTTAAAGCTGTTTTGTTGAATAGATCTTAAGTGTCTTCTTGCTCTAGCAAAGGATAGTTTTATAGCTCGCTGGTTGATGGTGCTGGTGAATTGGTCTGCTCAGACTGAGATTTCTAAAAATCAGCTTAGGAAGAGTAAGCAATCTCCAAAGACAATTGATAATAATATTTTAAAATTGAAGAGATGGCATACTCTTTCTAGAGGAATAAATGTATTTGTGGTTTACAAAAACAAAGTTTTTGGTTCTAAAGGCTACTTCTAAGGTTTTTAAACTTCTTTTAATACAAAAGTACTCAACATGCCACAGCACTGCACTTTGGAGTGTTGTTCTCTACATCCTAACACATCTATGGTATTAAATTAGAATTGGAGGTATCAATAGCAACTTGTGGTTTTAGTATACAAAGATAGATATAGAGGATACAGATACATGCATATATCTATATTCACACACAGATACTACTTCCTAGCCCTGCTATTAAGAGTGCCTAGACAAAAGAAAACTCCAGTAATAATTACCAAAAGCCCTGATCTTAGTCCCAAAATATTTATCGTAAAAGAAATCTGATTGCCTTGGAAAAATTGCTGATTCTAGAACTGTGATTGAAAAGTATAAGATAAGGCAGAAACATCTTTCTTATTGAGAATGAAAAGAAATGTTCAAATAATGTGAGAACATGTTAAAAAGTAACAGAAGCCAGCCTGAAGAGACTCACATTGACCAAATTTCAGACAATCTAGGCAACAAAATTAATGCTGAGTGTAATTAATAATTCATTTAATAAAATAATAATATATATGCCCATGTTCATATAAATATATAAATAAAACAAGGATTAACCACATGGAGAAGAATGAAAAGCTCTTCCAGTAAGGGTAGAAGAAATGACATAGATTACAAAAGAACAGTTTTGCAGTTATCAGAATAATTATTTATCTCAGCAAGAATTGTAAATGAGTGCTAATACTAATAGGAAAAAGTTGGATGAGGAACAAGAAAGTTTCAAACTATTTGCCCACAAATTACTTGCTAAATATAGGAGAGTGAAGGATCCTGGCAGACA
Source organism: Homo sapiens (assembly GCF_000001405.40). Lineage (NCBI taxonomy): Eukaryota > Metazoa > Chordata > Mammalia > Primates > Hominidae > Homo > Homo sapiens. The sequence goes on along the minus strand of NC_000002.12, from coordinate 52,472,641 downwards.
GCAACTTGCCTTAGTGATCAAAGTTACCATAATCAATAATGAAATCTACTCACATCAGGTACCTCTTGATATTATGCACTAAAAAAGGAATAGCATCACTTCTCTGGTGTTCTCTGCAAAACTGCATAACATTAATTTAATTATAGGAAAACTGCAGAAAACAAATTGTATGACATTCTACAAAATAACTAGTCATTGCTCTTTAAAAATGTCAATGTCATTATAAACAAATGAAAAATGAAGAGAGGCTGAGGTATTGAAAAAAAAGATTTAAAATACTATAATGGGCATTATTGGGATATTGGATAAAATCTGAATACAGATTGTGAGTTGATAATAGCATTGTGTAATTGGTAAAGAATCTGATTTTAATAATTATACTGTGGTTATAAAAAATCAGATGCCTAGGATACACACATTACAGCTTTTTGAGATAATGTATCACGACGTATGCAACTTACTCTCAAAATGTTTGGAAGTAATATATTACGTAAGTATTTTCTAAACTATCATTATATAACTATGCAAATGTATAAATATATATTCTATATAATTACTTATATATTAATGTGTGTATATATAGAGAGAGAGATAGATATATACACACACACAAACAGAAAGAATCATAATTATTGGGGAAAAACATATAATTGACAAATTTTGGTAAAACATATGACGGTGCTTTGTGCTGTTCTTGCAAATTACCACTGTCTTAGGCTATTCCCATGCTGCTATGAAGCAATACCCGAGACTGGGCAATTTATAAAGACACGAGATTTAATTGACTCACAGTTTTGCATGGCTAGGGAGGCCTCAGGAAACTTGCAATCATGGCAGAATGCATGTCATCACAGGGCAGCAGGAGAGACAATGAATACAAGCAAGGAAAATGCCAGAAGCTTATAAAACCATCAGGTCTTATGAGACTCACTCACTATCAAGAGAACAGCCTGGGGAAAACTGCCCCCATATGATCCAATTACTCTACCTGGTGGCCACCCTTGACACATGGGAATTATTACAATTCAAGGTGAGACTTGGGTGGGGACACAGAGCCAAACCATATAATTTCCACCTCTGGACCCTCCCAAATCTTATGTCCTCACATTTCATGCCCTTCCAGCAGTCTCATAGCCTTAACTCATTCCAGTATTAACCTAAAATTCCAAGTTCAGAGTCTCATCTGAGTTAAGGCAAGTCCCTTCTGCCTATTAACCTATAAAATCAAAAGCAAGTTACTTACTTCCTAGATACAATGAAGGTACAGGCATTGAGTAAATACACCTGTTTCAGATGGAAGAAATTGGCCAAAACTAAGGTGCTACAGGCCCCATGCAAGTCCGAAACTAAATAGGGCAGTCACTAAACATTAAAGTTCTATTGACTTCATGTCTCACATCCAGATGGTGTTAATGCAACGGGTGGGCTCCCACAGTCTTGACAAGCTCCATTCTTGTAGCTTTGCAGGGTATAGCTCCCCTCCTGGCTGCTTTCATGGCAGGCATTGTGTCTGTGGCTTTTCCAGGTGCACAGTACAAGCTGTCAGTGGAACTACCATTCTGGAGTCTGGAGGATGGTGGCCCTCTTCTCACAGCTCCACTAGGCAGTGTTCTTGTGAGGACTGTGTGTGGGGGCTCCATCCCCACAATTCCCTTCTGCACTGCCATAGCAAAGGTTCTCCATGAGGGCCCCACACCTGCAGGAAACTTCTCCCTGGACATCCAGGTGTTTCTATACATTTTCTGAAATCTAGGCAGAGGTTACCCAATTACACTTCTTGACGTCTGTTCACTCTCAGACTCAACACCATGTGGAAGCTGCCAAGGCTTGGGGCTTGCACCCTCTGAAGTCACAGCCTGAGCTGTACCTTGACCCCTTTTAGCCATGGCTGGAGTGGCTGGGATGCAGAGCACCAAGTCCTTAGGCTGCACACAGCAGGGTGGGCCTGGGCGCAGCCCACAAAGCCATTTTTTTTTTCCCTCTTAGGCCTCTGGGCCTGTGATAAGAGTAGCTGCTGCAAAGGTCTCTGACCTGACCTGGAGACATTTTCCCCATTGTCTTGGTGATTAACTCTTGGCTCCCTGTTACTTATGCAAATTTCTGCAGCAGGCTTGAATTTCTCCCCAGAAAATGGATTTTTCTTTTTTATTGCATCTTCAGGCTGCAATTTTTTCCAAATTTTATTTTTTCAAACTTCCTCTTGCATGCTTTGCCACTTAGAAATTTCTTCTGCCAGATACCTTAAATCATCTCTTTCAAATTCAAAGTTCCACAGATCTCTAGGACAGGGGCAAAATGCTGCCAGTCTCTTTGCTAAAGCATAACAAGAGTGACCTTTACTCCAGTTCCCAAGAAATTCCTCATCTCCATCTGAGACCACCTCAGCTTGGACATCATTGTCCATATCACTATCAGCATTTTGGTCGAAGCCATTCAACAAGTCTCTAGCAAATTCCAAGCTTTCCTACATTTTCCAGTCTTATTCTGAGCCCTCCAAACTGTTCCAGCCTCCTCCTGTTACTGAGTCCCAGAGTCACTTCCAGATTTTTGGATATCCTTATAGCAGCATCCCACTCTCTGTAGTACCAATTTTTTTGTATTAGTCTGCTCTCACACTGTTATGAAGAAATATCTGAGACAGGGTAATTTATATAGAAAAGAGGTCTAATTGACTCACAGTTTTGTATGGCTGAGGAGGCCTCTGGAAACATAATCATGATGGAAGGCACCTCTTCACAGCATGTCAGGAGAGAGAATGAGTGCAAATGGGGGACATGCCAGACCCTTATAAAACCCTTAGATTTCATGAGACTCATTTATTATCACAAAAACAGCATGAGGGAAACTGCCCCCATGATCTAATTACTTTTATCTAGTCTGGCCCTTGGCACAGGGGATTATTACAATTCAAGGTGAGATTTGGGTGGGGACACAGAACCAAAGCATAACCTCTGAGTTTGAAATTATATCAAAATAAATTCCAACAAATATGTTTTCATAAATGGAATGTGTTTAATATTCCCTAGCCTGTTTTCTAGCTCTTAATTTCTTTTTAGCAGCAAATGAGGTGACACTGTGGCAGTTGCCTCTCCCTGAGAGCCATTCAGAATAGCAAAATAGTAACTAACATTCGATGAGGGCTTACCACATAGCTTTCACAATGCTCTCTTTATTTGCATTATGTAATTCCCACAACTTTTTGATACAGGTGTTATTATTTTCATTTTATGAGAAGGGGTCCAAAAGAGGTGAAATAATTTTCCATAGGTCACTGAACTAGAATAATGGAAAGAAGAATTGAATTCTAAAGTTCCAGCTCATAACTGCAGTGCTTCACCCTTTGTTTTCTCTTAGAATCAGCTCATTTTTTTCCACTATGATAGAATCCTTTTTTAAGACAGCAAAAATAATTTATACATCCGATAGACAAAAGGGGTTGAGGTTAGGTGAAATACATTATTTAGTAGGTTTATCTCAAAATTCTGCTGAGGAAATTTGGAAAACCAAAGGACATAGAAGCATGGATGGTAGCAAACTGATGGTTATATTCTGAATGTTGCATTTTATTTTTTGTCAAAGAAGAAAAGCAATAATATGTACACCTGAGATATCCAAATTGCCAAGTTTTAGGTAGTATACATGCAAATGGTGCCATCAATGCCTCAAGATACATAGAAAACTACCTTTAAATGGCACACTATTTGAGGTGTTAAAGTCTGTTCTTTCTATTTTTCTTGCTGAATCTCCTAGCATCTGCGTAGGGATAAGGGAGTGATTAATTCCACAACTGGACATCAATTCCTTATTTATATCTGAAGAGAAAAAATGTTGTAATAGCTAAAAACATAACTATCATATAAAACTAAAGGTGCATATTGATAGAAATATCCATTTAATCAAAAATAAGAGAAGATTAGAGGAAAAAAGACAACCATTTATGAAAGTTATAGAAATTACTAGAAAGATAAAACAAGACCAAGAATTGAAGGTTGTTATCAGGGAGGGAATACAAACATCCACACGTCGTTAACAATTATAATTGCTTTGTACTATATTTTGGATTTTTTTTTTTGGATTACAATGTGAAGGAATCATTCTGTAATTAAAATGAATAACTTCATTCCTTCGTTATCAACACATTTATTTAATATTTGTTTAGTGCTTCCCATGTGCCTGTTAGGGTTTGGAAAACAATATCCCAAATTATGGGGCTTTGACATGCTGAGTTCTTTGAACTAAAGAAGCAACCTCAGAGCCAAGGTCTGTCTGACATTCCCCTGCACGCTTGTCATTAAAGTTTCTTCTTCTTGCAAAGGAGAGGGGCTTTCTCTGAGATTTCCCTTATCTGACTAAAGAAACTTCTCCAGAAGGAATGTGATTGCCATGAACACTCTCCCTGGAATCTGCATTAACCAGAGAACATTAACTTGCATTGCAGGAGAGGAAACTAAGGGCCTCCATGCCCAGAACACCATGACCAAACAGACTTTTTACCTATTATTCTAACAGACTTTATCTGCATTTAATAAGACAACTCGGGTTTGCAGTGTGGTTCCTCGCCTCATCCTCCCATACCTTGTCACGACTACCCTGCAGGACCCTTCAAGCCTCTATTTCTTTCTGTAACTCAAAGTGCTATTTAAGCTTCAACCATATGGTCCTTCTTTGAGTCTTACATTTTGTGGGACTCCCGTGCATATGCACAAAATAAATTTGTGTGCCTTTTCTCCTGTTAATCTGTCTACTGTCAAGTTTATTTCCAAGACTATTAAAACTTCAGAGAGTATAAGAATAATTCATTTGGCTCCTACACCTCTTTCTCTCCTTTGCATTTTACTCTATTGAATTCTATCAAACATACTTAACAAAAGCAAACTTTCAGATTCGTTCTACCTGCATCTTTGTATTTTTCCAAGCCTGTCAAATGTTCTGCCTGCTTTTTTTCCCCTTCTATATTAAACTCAGGCTCAATTAAAATGGCCTGATAGTGCTAAATGACCAAACACAAAAACCAGGAGCCCAGAGGACCTCACAGTCTAGTTGAGAGTATTTATGTGTAAGTATATATTACAACATTGTGTAAATGGGCTTGCTTTGATTCAGAAGTGCAGTGTTATAGAGTGCAGAGGAGAGGAGAGGTAGTAACTCTGCCTTTGGCTGGTATGTTGGAGCCTGGCTTAATGCTGAGTAGACACTGAAGAGATGGAGTAGGATGATGGTAGCAGAAGGGACTCTTAACCTGAGGGAATGCAGTGGGTCTCTAAACAGGGGATTCCAACTGAGAAAGCAGGAAAGGAGCTTAGCGGATCGGGGTCTCAACAACAGTCACATTCAGATACAAAATGGGAAGTTAACTGGGACAGCAAGCTGGATGCCATCTAGAAAAATAAGAAAGAATATCTACCTCACAAGACAGAGATGACAAAGTAGAAGTTTCCACTTGCTAGAGGCCAAAGAAGATAGAGAAATCCTAGTACTGATTATGACGTCTAAGTCTCTGAAAGGCCTTTGAGTGAAAAAGGCTTTGCTGCTTCCCAGGCATTTCAGCCAAGTTTGAAACTGCACCAGTTTGTTTTCAAGCTCCACTTGTTAATGACTGAGGGTCAGTTAAATGACAGATTTAGTTTTAGATTTTACAGTGTGCCCAACACTGTGCTAAGATGTCAGCACGGATTAAAAAGAAAGGCCAAAAATTCATTCTATACCCTTTGTGTTCAAGTGTGTGCACTAGGGGCAAATTTTGGCCAGTTTGCAAAAATGCCTCTGAAAATATGAAGGAAGGATAACTACATAAAATGTAAGTCTTGGAGATCAGCAGTGTGTTTGCTACACTACAGTAAGTTTGCTGTACAAAAGATACCACATTTAAAAAAACATAATGAAACAATTTACAATCACTTTTTTATTCATGTATTTTTCAGAAACTTAAGAATCTTGAAGCAACAAATCTTTCACAAATGTAAAATTTTTGAACAGGGAAAATTGAAAGCAAACTTTCTGCAGCCCAGTATGGCATACTGTAATTTTCATTATGGAGATGAATGTTTTTAATCCAATCATTTTAAATTAGTTATGCTTCATTTTCATCTATAACTCTTGAAATATCTTTCAGTCAGGGCACTGGAAAATCCAGTATAAAATGGCTCAAATGACAAATGATCCAAAGCAAAATATTTTACTGATATGAGAGACCATTAAGACAGCAAAATTAACTTTTTAAATATATCTTTTTTGTTTTGAGCCTTCAATTCCTAAAATGTTTCTATATATCATGTTGCAATAATGATATAATTATAATAACTCTGCTAGTACTTATAGTGACAAATTTATTCCTAGTTAGTTCATTTGTTTTTATGTAGGAACTTCCGTAAGATTGCAGTTTAATTCAGTATTAACCAGGCTATTATTTGAAAGTGTTTCCAACTTGGCAATAAATGGTGGTGATTTAGTTATAATTAAATAGAAATAAGTATATGAAAGCCTAATGAAGTTCAGAGAAGTATTCATTATATTTCAACATTTATATTATCTACTCTACCAATAAATTGTTATACCTCTATTGGTAATTAACTGGGAATTAACTCATTCAATTTTTTAAATACAATTTCTGGTCTCAGACTTCTTACTTTGTTATATACCCATTGAAAACCTAATTGAGAGTGTAGAAAACATGTTTTTAAATGAATCAAAACAAAAAAAAATTAGTGTAGCATCACAAGTGAATTCAATTGACTGAAGCTGTTTACTGAATCAAGATGGATCTGGTAGCATCCAACATTTTTCTGCATTTTGTATCTCTGATACTTGTCGCAAACCCCCTCGCTGAAATCTTTCCATATTTTAGAGTTCAGTGCTTTATCAAATACTGTACATCGTATTTTTTTCCTGTCTCTCATTATCTGACATGAAGGCATATCACATTAGCTCTTGTCATGAGTCATTTTTAACTTCTAAAGCATGAAGTCTTTTACTTGTTTTCATTGCTGTGTTTTAATGCATTTGCTTAGCCGGGCAGGATATATTTTTGTTTTCCTATCCCACACCCGTCTTGCCAAATATTTGGAAAATGTTAGGAATTAATCGAGTGGCTATAGGTTTTTCTTTTGTTTTTAACAACCTTATTGAGATATAATTCATACACACTACAATTCATTTAGAGTACACAGTTCAGTGGTTTTTACTATATTCACAGATATGTGCTACCATCACCACAGTCAAGTTTGGCTAGTTTTCATCACCTCAAAAAACAAAACAAAATTCCAGGCATACCCAGTGGCTCATGTCTGTAATCTCAGCTCTTTGGGAGGCAGAAATAGAAGGAGTTTGAGACCAGCCTGGGTAACATAGGGAGACCCCTGTGTCTACCAAAACAAACAAACAAAAAAACACTAAAAAAGTAGCCAGGAATAATGGATAATTTTTTTAGTAGTCCTAGCTACTTTGCAGGCTTAGACAAGAGGACCGCTTGATCCCAGGAGGTCAAGGCTGCAGTGAGCCATAATTGTGCCACTGCATTCCAGCCTGGGCAAGTCCATATCCTTTAGCTCTCACTCTCCTATTTCCGCATCCCATCCCTTACCCCCATCCCTAAGCAAACATTAATCTACTTTCTGCCTCTATAGATTATTCTAGACATTTCACATGACTAGACTCATAAAATACGTGGTCTTTTGTGACTGGCTTCTTTCACTTGGCATAATATTTTTAAGGTTTATCTACATTGTAGCATGTATTACTATTTTGTTTCTCTTAATGGTGAAATAATATTCCATTGTATGGATATACTATATTTTCTTTATTCATTTGGCAGTTGATTGACATTTGGGTAGTTTCTACCTTTTGACAATTATGAATAATATTTTTACATACATTTTTATACACTTGTGGTGGAATTATGTTTAATTTCTTATGGGTATATATCTAGAAGTAGAACTGTTGGGTCATATGCTAACTCTATATTTGACATTTTGAAGAAATGCCACACTAGTTTCCAAAGTGGCTCCCCCATTTTACATTCCCACTAGCACCGTATGTGTGTTCTGATTTATGCATATCCTCATTAATAGTCATTACTATGTAATTTTTTCTTATAGCTTTTGTAGTGAGCATAAAGTGGTATCTCATTGTGGTTCTGATTTGCATTTCTCTGGTTAATGAAGTTGAGCATTCTTTCCATATATTTATTGGCCATTTAGATGTCTTTCTTGGAAAACTGCCTATTTGGTTTCTTTGTCCATATTTTAAATTGGATTATTTGCCTTTTACTATTGAGCTGTTAGAATTTTTATATATTTCAAATACAAGCTCCTCTTCAGATATATGGTTTGCAAAAAAAATATGACTGGCTGCAGATTTTTCTTATGTATTAACAATTATCACATAGTGCCAAGATTAGTTGTGATTAGTGTCACTAGTGACACATCAGTGAATATTCTGAACCCAGTTACTGGGTGAGTTCAGTCTCCTTTTGGTATTTATTTCTTGTGTTTGAAATGAACAGTAGTAAGTGAATGCTAGAATAAAGTTGGGAGCAACAGCTGTCCTTTCTTTGCATTATAATTACTCCTCCATATAAGACCCATAAAAAGCCCTAACTCTAACATTAAGTCCCTGACACTTTGCATAACCACAAAATCTCTTATGGAGACTAGAGCACTGGAGAATTACAGTCCCCAGAAATGAATTTCCCTCTTCTTCTGTCTCTTGAAGGGCCTGTCACTAAACTTCATCAAGGTGTGAAAATTGTCAGAATCAAAATGGTGTTACTAATGAAAACATGTTACTAATGTTACTAAGGAAAACAACAACAACAACAAAAATTGACAATTAGAGCTGGAGAAGTCCATGAAAACAGGGTTCTCATGCTTGTGTGCCTGATAACAAAAACTATCACAAAAGGCTGAAAAAAACCACAACCTTACACACAGGTCATTGCAACCTTAAACAAAAAATATTTCTAAAAGGACATCTGCCCAGCAACTGCCTGTCCAACCTTGAACTCGTAGCACCCTTGTTATTGATTTTTGTAGCTAAGGACAATTATTTCAAAACAATTATGTAATCTTCCTCATTTATTTTCCTTTAGAAACATTTGTCTTCCTTTACCTCTCTGCATACACACGTAGTTTACTATAGCATGCATATTCCCATTACAATGCTCTATACCCAAATACGTATCTTCTCCTTTAGAGAGCCTCTCTATGTTATTTAGGCTGATAAAGGCAAAGACTATAAAGATTGCAAGGGAAATAAATACTTTATATCTCATTGCAATAAAAAAGGCCTTTATTTCTCACATCTAATAATTTATATCTATGTATTCTTCTTCTGTATATTTATCATAAATACACATCCTGTTTAAAAATCTCTCCTTTTTAAGAAAGGCTCACATTTGGTCCTGGAGATGACTCTAAAGCAGGCTAATGAGTTTATATCAACCCATTCACATATATCTGCTTTTTTGTTTCTCCTTTTTATATAATTTAGTAGCTAGTAATGGAACCCTTGACTATAGGGTATAGCAGTACAGACTGGATGTCGCTGGTCTTTCTCCCCTTGCCCCTCTGGCATCAACAGATCTAACTAGTTAAGTTCTTGCTTATTGTTTAGTTGTGTTTTGTTCTCGTACTGATCAACTGTTTCCTTCTTGTTGCTCATTCTGTTCTAATGGTTAATCTGAAGACGTCACTCAGTCATTATAGTTGGGAAAATTTGAGTTCATTTGTCTCATTCTTTACTAGGCTTTATTTTCCCAGCATTACTTAGATTGCATAATGCTTTCCCTGATATTTTTCTATGGGTAGCTATCCCTTTTACCTGTGGTCTTCAAATGAGGCCTCCTATTAATCAGAAAATAATACTACTCAGTTCAAATGGAATTCCCACTTACTAGTCCCTACATTCGTACTCTGTCCCTTATTGGATAGTCCCAGTGTTTCACCCATCTACATTCACGGATGTCTATGTTTATGTAAAATAATTTTTTACTGTAGTTTCTCTTGTGAAAGAAAACCTCTCTTCACTATTGCCCTTTTATCTCTAGCTTTGCATTTTTAATTATATCATCTCAAATTCAGGTTTAAATTAAACAAATAGGTGTAATATGCTAGTTACTGTGACACAACCATCCTCTCACAAAATGAAGCTCCACAGATGGAAACTTAGTATACTAATAGTCATATTAGGTGTATATGTTGTCACATAAAAGTAAATATTGTTAAAACTAATACAAAGAAAGGCCCAAGTCTTTCTCTCTGAGGATGCTGTAATGAGACAACACAGAAAACAAGCACTGACTTTTAAAATAATTACAAAAATTTTAGCGAACTTGTTTACTTTATAACTTGTCAATGCTGCTACAGCACCCTCTGAACAAAAAGAGGTTTCAAAGTTCCTCTGTTGACGAAATAACCTTTTTTCTGCCATATTATTGATTTTACAGTGCTGCATTTTAGCTTCCTTCAGGCCATTTCCTCCAGGCAACTCTTTACTTCCTAAGGCAATAACCATTTTTAATCTTGCCAACCAAGCAAGAGATGGCTTGCTGATGAGGAGCCAGCTGCCAAGCCCCTAGCGCTCCCTCAGTTCTCATCCTGCACTCAAAGGATAATGTGACACATCAGCAGCAAAGTTCTTTTTTTATTTACAGATTGACCTGAGACTGTTATTTCAGGGCAAAAGAAATATGCTCGTATTTGAAAAGATGGAAGATGGAAACTTTGAGTTAGATAATTTAGTTTGCTTCTGCAGGAGTCAAGTATTCATAACTACTCATTTCTCCTCCACAACATATATGCCGTTCAAACATTTTTCTCCTTCAGGTCTTACCACTGACACTTCATGTTACATGTAAACACAGTGGTTAAAAGATCCTTAGAATTATAATCACTTTGCTTTTAAAATGAGAAAATAAAGGTAACAACTTGAGATTTTTTAAAAGAGTAAAAATTCACAGAGATAACCATATTTATAGATATGAAAGCATGAGTTTAAAAATTAGAAGAAAATATTATTCCATTACATCAGAATACTTTGATTTTTACATCATTCCTCATTTAGCGTGGGGCAATATTTTTTGGAAGGATTAATTTAGAGTCTGTAGGCATCTGACAGATAATAGGACCTAATAAAGATGTTCTATTAGGATTCAATGAAGACAATAAAGCAATTCAAAGTTGATTGAACCTTTATCGTGAAAAGGTGATTCTATGTAGCTTATAGTACAATTAGCTTTTTTTTAATTTTTAAATTTGAATGACTTCTAGATTCACTGGAAGTTTCAAAGAAATGTACAGGGTAGTCCCTTGCACCCTTTTCCCAACTTCTCCCTATGTTAACACCTTGTTTAACTGTAGTATAATATCAAAACCCAATGACTGACACTGGCAATATTCACAGAACTTGCTCAGATTTTACCATTTATAAATGCATTCATTTGTGATAAAATTGTATAACATTTTATCACAATTTTATCACCAGTGGCCTGGAGGAAATGGTGTGAAGGAAGCTGTAACTACCACCATAAGCTCCTTGGTAGCCACACCCCAGGCTCTCCCATTCTAAATGTTGACAACCATTAATCTTGCTTTCCATCTCTATAACTGTGTTATTTCAAGAGCACTATATAAGTCAGATCATATTCTCAGTGTTAAACTTTTGATGTTGGCTTTTTTCATTCAATATAGTTAATTAGAGGTTTATGCAAGTTTTTGTGTGTATCCATGGTTCATTCCTTTTTATTACTGAGTACTATTTCATGGTACGGATGTGTATCACAGTTTCTTTAAACATTCCCACCTCAAGAGGTGATATGTGTGTAGTTTCTAATTTTTTGCTATGATTAGTTATATTGCTATAAACTTTCACGGACACATTTCTGTGTGAACATAGTTTTTGTTTTTCTCGGAAAAATACCCAAGGGCACAATTGCCAAGTTGTATGGTAAGCCTATTTTTAATTTTGAAAGAAACCCTTATAACTTGCAGATAAAAATATAGTGTAATGTCTTCAATAATATAATTTCTATAATTCCCACTAGTACGTCTTTTGCCCATTTTTCTGATTGAATTATCTTCTTTGTTAATGTCAACCTTTGTGAGTGCTTGTAAATTATAGACAATAGTCCTTTTATGTATAAGTGTTTAGCAAATATTTTCTCCCAGTCTGGGACCCTTGTTTTCATCCTCTTTACATGGGTTTTCACAATATGCAAGTTTTTAATTTTATTAAGGTCCAATTTATAATTTTCATTTGATAATTAGAACATTAAATTAAAAATTAAATGTTTTCCTCTAGTAAAGTCCAAATTTATAATTTTTTAAGTGAATTGTGCTTTTAGTATCAAATATAGAATCTCTTTGCCTGGTTCTGAGTCCCAAAGAGTTGTAGTTATTTTTTTCAAACACCTTGCATTTACATTTTACATTTAAGCCTGATATCCATTCCAGTTAAGTTTTCTATAAGATGCAAGATTTAGGTCAAGTGTTTTTTGTTTGCTTGTTTTGTTTTTTTTGACTAAGAATGTCTAATTGTTCCAGTACCATTTGTTAGAATGGTATCCCTCCTTCATCGAGTTTCTTTTGCACCTTTGTCAGTAATCTATTGTGTATATTTGTGTGAGTCTATTTCTGGGTTCTCTATTCTGTCCCAGTGATTTATGTGACTGTTTCTTTAGTAGTACTACACTGTCTGTTTACCTATAGTAAAATAGGTACGTGGCAAGTTTTAACATTAGCAGGAGTTATTCCTCTCACATTATTCTTTTTTTTTAAAATAATTTCAGCTGTTCTAAGGCCAATCCCTTTCCATATAAATTCTAGAATAAGCTTTTCTATATCCAAAAAATAATTGCTGTGTTTTTGATAGGAATACATTAAACCTCTACATCTTTGGGGAGAATTGAGATCTTTATTATGCTGTCTTTCAATACATAAACATGGTAAGTCTCTCCAGTTATTTCTGTCTTCTTTGAGTTCTTTAATCAGCATTTTATAACTGAAATCATATAGAGTTCTATATGTATTTTTAGATTTATACCTAAGTATTTATCTTATATGAGGCAAATGTAAATGGTATTGCATTTTATTTTGTATTTCACTATCTTGCTGAACTCTTTTATTGGTTCAGTAATTTTTTGATAGATGTTTTGGGATTTTTGATATAGGCAAACATGTAATCTACAAATAGAGACAGTTTTATTTCTTCCTTTCCAATCAGTGTACTTTTTGTTTCATTTTCTTGCCTTATTGTAACGGCTGGAGCTTCCAGTCTTAAATTGAACAAGAGTAGTGATAGCAGAAATTCATGCCTTGTTCTCAGTAGAAGCTCATTAGGTATGATGTTTTGTTGTAGGTGTTTTTGTAGATGATCTTTATCAAGTTGAGCAAGTTTAATTTTATCCCTAGTTTGCTGAGAATTTTTACAATAAATGGGTATTGGATTTTTTCAAATTTTTTTATGTTAATTAATATGATTGTATGATTCTTCTTCCTCAGTCTGTTGTTATGTTGAATTGCTTTGATTGATTTTCAAATATGCAATCGCTCTCACATACTTGAAACCAATCTCATTTGGTCATGATGGTTATACTTCATAAATTCAATTTGTAATATTTTGTTGAGAGGTTTGACATCTAAGTTCATGAGAGATATTAGTCTGTAGTATTTTTTCCTACTGTTTTTTGTATGGTTTGGTTAACAGGTAATATTGGCCTCAAAATGAGTGAGAAGCACTCCTTTCTTTTCTATGTACTGAAAGAGTGAGCGAATTTGTTAATTTTTTAAATTTGCTGGTGAAAACATCTAAGCCTAGAGATTTCTGGGGAGGAGGAGCATTAGAATTGCAAATTAGATTTGTTTAATGGTAATATGACTGCTTAGGTTGAACTGATTTTATCCTGTGTCATTGTTACTTTTGAGAACATCTAGTCGGGTTTTTATTTGGCTGTTATATTTTTCAGTTCTAACATTTTCATTCATTTATTTTTTATAATTCTATCTCTTTTCTAAGATTTTCAATTTTTCTTCATGTGTTTCAAGAGAATTTGTAACTGCTTCCTAAAGCAATTTAGTGATGACTGCTTTGAAATCCTGGTCATATCATTCAACATGTGAATAATCTCAGAGTTGATGTTTATTGATTTTTTTTTTCTCTGTCAAGTTGTGCTTTTTCTTAGTTATTGGTACTACAAGAGATTTTCAGTTGTTTCTTTTACATTTTGTACATTTTCATGGGATACTCATGATCCTATTTAAAACTTCTATTTTAGCAGGGGGTCACATTATTAGGCTTACATTTAAGTCCTGTATTAGTTTTGTAAGTTTTAGTTTCAATGACAGTTTAGTTCTCAGAACCTTGGCAATTATATTCTGCTGTGCTTTACCTCTCTGTGCTGCCTGCAGGTCAGTTAGGTTTCCCAGTGGGAACTAGCTGGGAATGGATCCTGCCAGACTCTTTTGATACTGCAAGTCTGGGTGGTTGGCCCACTCACTGTTGCAGGTAGAGACCTTGCTCATGCTGACCGTGAGTATGCTGACACTGCAGCAGAATAGGACTGTAATTCTAGGCATGTAATCTGTGGAGTAGGAGATGAGTCCTGTCCTAGGAGTTACTTTCTATCGTGAGCAGGATATCATAATATGCGGTGTGGGGAATGGGGTGGCCTATCTGGTTCGCCTGTTGTGACCACTGTAGACATATCAACTTTTATTTTTATTTTTACTTTTTTTTTGAGACGGAATCTGGCTCTGTCGTCCAGGCTGGAGTGCAGTGGCACGATCTCAGCTCACTGCAACTTCTGCCTCCTGGTTCAAGCAATTCTCCTGCCTCAGCCTCCTGAGTAGCTGGGATTAACAGGCATGTGCCACCACGCCCAGCTAATTTTTGTATTTTTAGTAGAGACGGGGTTTCACCATGTTGGTAAGGCTGGTCTCAAACTCCTGACCTCGTGATCTGCCCGCCTCGGCCTCCCAAAGTGCTGGGATTACAGGCAGATCAACTTTTAATCAGCATTTTGTAATTTAAATTATATAGATTTCTACATGTATTTTTAGATTTATACCTAAGTATTTATCTTATATGAGGTAATTAAAAATGTTACTGCATTTTATTTTATATCTCATTATATTGCTGAACTCATTTATTGGTTTAATAATTTTTTTGATAGCTATTTTGGGATTTTCTATATAGGCAAACATGTAATCTGCAAATCAAGATAGTCTTATTTCTTCTTTATGCACCCTCCGGGAGTGCCACCCTCCAAGTATTTCAATGTGCTTACCAATCTAGATGTTCATCCAATATGGTTGTTGGAGAGTTTTTATAGAACTTTATTTCCAGTCTCCCTAGCCCCACTTCCGCAAGGCTCCTGGGTAGGGCTGAAAGTTCCGACCCTTTAATCCTGAGGTTATCTAAGTGTCCCATCCTAAGTAAATCTCATTAGCATAAACTCTGATGTGATCAAAAGGGGCTCCTTATGAATAACAAAAGACACTCCTACCACTCAGGGAAATTCTAAGGATTTTAGGAGCTCTGGGCTAGGAACCAAGGACAAAAACCAGATATATTTCTCATTATGTCATAACCCAGTGGGTTCTTCTTATCTGCTTTCCATGAAAAAACCAGTGCACTGAGAACAGCAGGTGTTGCAAGAAAGACAGAGTTTAATTATCACAGGGCCAGCCAGGCAAGGAGAATAGGAGAAATTTCTCAAATCCACTTCCCTGAGAATTCAGAGGCTGGGGATTTTAAGGATACTTTGGCCTGCAGAGGGCTGGGGAACTGAAACTATTGACTAGAGATGAAATCACTGTGATGTCTGAATTGTCTGAGTCAGCTTGTGAGATGGGGGGTCTCAGGACTAGGCAGTGTGTCTTGGTTTGCCAAAATGCTTAATCTGAAAAATACCTCAAAGACCAGTTCTTTAGGTTACACAATAGTAATGTTATCTATAGGAGTAGTTGGGGAAGTAATAATTCTTGTGACCTCTGGTTACGTGACTCTGGAGCTGAAAGCAACTTGTAGAAAAGCAAGCTAAATAAGCAGTGAATAGTTACGTTTAACCATGCCCATTCTTTAGGAAAGTTCAGCTCCTGCCATAATTCTAACCTTGTGACCTTTTGTTAACCTTTCAAATACAGTTTCAATTTTTCAACAAGGAAGGGAACAGGAAAGGACTATTATGGCTTTCACACAGGAATGAGCAAAAGCAATCTAGACTGGTAGAAGCAAGATGGAGTCAGTTAAGTTAGGTTTCCCTTACTACTATAATATTTGCAGTTTTAATTATACCACAGTACCTCTATCCAATTTAGCATCAAATGCATCTCAGTTGGTTCTTGTTTAATTATTTATTTGACTTGTCAAGCTTATATTTGTTGTTAATAATTCAGGGAAAATGCTATCCCAAGCTGCTATATAAAATGACAGACATAAACTATTAATCAGCTTATTTTTCTCCTAAAAGTAGTAGAAAATTTATAATCACCCTGTTTCATAACACTGTTTTTCAAATCTCTTGACTATTCCAGGAATTAAAAGAAAAAAGACAGAAGTGGGACACCTTGGGGAGTCAGTACTAATATACAGTTTTGTTTTAATCATTTAAAATCTATAAGAAGATGTATTTCAGGGGAAGGATGATATTGAATAACCTAAAAGGATTATATTGAAAAACCTAAAATTTTAGTTTATAAATGTCAAATCTGAAAAATACTGTATCTCTTTTTTTTGAAAAACAGCTAAAAAGAAAACATCAAAAGGAATTAAAAGGCAAAGCAGATCCTCTTTGTCAGTTGTGTTTAACTGTGCTATTGCCTTTTCTTGGGCAACTAATTACATGATATTACTTTAGTATTTCCCCCCCACTTTTTGCACCTGCTTTTGCAACTGCGCTTGCCTGTGAAATGGCCTTATCAGACCCAGCTAAATTACCGCACACAGAGGGGGACTTCTCTGTTCACCCCAGTGCAGAGCAGTTACTTCCTATCCTTCTATGAATTATTTATTATCTGCTTCTCTTTTATTTGGCCCTTTGTTGAAGGCCTATGTTATTGTGACTATTTCTTGCTTATCTGTGTAAAATTGATAATATCTTAATTTCATTTTGTTATCTATTTTAAATGTGTATATGTATATATGTGTATGTGCATGTGCTCATATATGTGAGTTGATGTATATTTCAGTGTGAGCTGGCATACACTAATTCCCTCCTCTACATCCCACCCTCCTTACCAGTTAGTTAGCATTGAGGTGTTGTGGTACTCTGGGTAAAATTGGAAATTAATGAAAATTTTATGGTCTTATATCAAGGATTGCAAGGGAATGTATATAGATCATAACATAGGCACATACTGTGTATTAACAGAAATATGTGTTTGAATAATGAAAATTTTGAGTCCTAATTCTGGGGCATAATCTTGCAGGTCAGTTTTGGCATGTTTAGACTATTACCCAATAACTAGAACTGTGGATAAGCACTGGTTGACCTTTGAAAATGTTGTCATACTCCTTTTTGCTGACATGGTTGTAGTAAAATTACAATGTGGCTTAACATTTAAGAACATGGATTTAAACAAGAGACTCTCTTTAAAAAGATTGCCAAATTACCTTTGTAATTTTTTAACCTTCACAAGACTTTAGTTTTCTTATTTTAAAATAGGATGTTAATAATACAAACTCACTGGGATGTTATGAAAATTAAATGAAAGAAAGTGTGCAAAGTGTCTAGCATGGTTAGTGCTCATTATATACACCTGTTGTTATTAAGTATTAACCTTTGGGTTGTTAATGTGATGGTTGGACATCCTCTGATTTATACTGAATTTTTGTTGGTTTAAAATAGATAAGGATAAAGGACATATTCATTATTGCTTTCGCAAAGGAAACTTTCAGAGGGGTTAAAAAGATAATGAGGTTTTCCTCACCTTTTGCTCTAAGATTCATTGATCACAGGTATTATCATCCAAGTGTGAACAAACTTTCTATGTGACTTGTAATATCCCTAACTGATTATAACTAATAAAAAATTAAGGGATTATAAAATTAAAATATTTAGTTGTAGAACATAAAGAATTATTGTTTAAAACCAAACAAAAAGGATAATAGAAGAGTTGGAAATGGGAAAGAAGTAGCACTATTGCAGAAACGTATTATATATAATGTAATTTATTTATTTATTTCAGACAGAGTCTCACTCTATTGCTCAGGCTGGAGTGCAGTGGCCTGATCTGGGCTCACTGCAACCTCCACCTCCCGGTTCAAGTGATTCTCCTGGAGTACAGGCTCATGCCACCACGCCTGGCTAATTTTTGTATTTTTACAAAATACAAAACATGGGTTTTCACCATGTTGCCCAGGCTGGTCCTGAACTCCTGAGCTCAAGTGATCTGCCCACCTTGGCCTCCCAAAGTGCTGAGATTACAGGTGTGAGCCACTGCATCTGGCCAATGTATGCCACTTAAACCTGCCTTGAAAACCAGTTCCTGGGACTGATCTTCATGTAATGGTAACATGTTCCCTCAAATGGAAAGATAATTAATTACAGAGTTTCAGCTCACTGGTGAATTACAACTGGGAATGTCTGATTCAGTCACTATGGCCATTGGATATGTCATGAACCCTTAAACAAAATTTCCTCTAAAATAATTTGATTAACTGATCCCCTGCAGTAGATTTAGGAGAAACTAAGTTAGTCAGGAGAAAATTTTTCTCACTTTTTAAACTCCCATTTCCAGCTTACTACTCATTTTAGATTTAGTTAGAAGAAGAATTTGAAAGGTGTGATACATGTAATTAATTCAACAAACATGTGTAGAGTACTGAGGATTAAAAACTGTTACAGACCCAATAAATACATAGGTGACCAAGAAAAACAATCTCTGCTCTAGCAGAGCTTAGATTTCAGAAAAGGTAGAGGGAAAATTAATAATACTTTAAAAGTTTAAAAGACAATTTAGGTAGTGATAATTAAAAAAATGAAAAGAAAGACCTGATGTGATTGAGTGTAATTGGGGAAGTCAAGGAAGGCCTCATTGAGGAAGGCGA
This sequence comes from Homo sapiens, assembly GCF_000001405.40. Classification (NCBI taxonomy): domain Eukaryota; kingdom Metazoa; phylum Chordata; class Mammalia; order Primates; family Hominidae; genus Homo; species Homo sapiens. The sequence continues at coordinate 52,453,600 of NC_000002.12, read as the reverse complement.
GGTCGAAATAATTAAAAAAGTAGCGAGGATCCTCCTAGTAGCTGAGCATCCTACAGAGGAAGTAGTGAATATAAAAGTCCTAATGTGGGCACAAACTTGGTGTGGATGCCCAATAAAAAGGTAATTGGTGGTAGACGAGGTTGGAGAGATAGGAGGCCCAGGTCAGGCATGGCATTTTAGGCCGCTGTAGTCTGGACTTTACACTGAGTATAATGGAACACAAACAGGTGTACTAATTCTTTAATTTGTTAAATGTTTGTAAGCATCTATTCTATGAGAGACTTGGCTTTGAAATTAAGACATAGATGTCATATGGAAATCCTATATGGGATACCATATATACAGTAACTCTTCACGTGAGAAAAAAAGAGAGCAGAACACCGTAAGAATGTAGAAGAGTGTATACCTAACTGAATACTTTTGATGTACGTTTATTAAAGAGATAATATTTGAGTTGAGGTTTTAAGTATTAGTAGGACTTTATTTCGTGCAACAAAGGCAACAGAAAGCAGAAAATGAAGAGTAGTCTTAGAGAGAGCTAGAGGCTACTTTTATTGAAACAAGATACATTTAGAAATGTGACAAGTCTGCAAAGGTAATAGAGTTAGATCATTATGACTCTTGAATGCCAAGTTTAAAAAATAAGATTATATTTCTCTGTTACGGAGGAGCGACATCAGTACTTTCAAGTATGAGAATAGTATGATCAACGTTGGGCTACAGGGAGGTTGTGCTTCAGTGACTGGAGGAATGTGGAGAGCAGCAGTTTGAAAGAGGACTGGCAAGGCAGGTGAGGAAGAAAGGTGAGTGAGGGACTGTGAGGGGCGAAGGAGATGTCCAGGTGCATTGAGTCTGATTCTAAAATACCCTCTGTGTCATTCTTTCCATTTCCACTGCCACTGCTGGGTGTCAGTGCTTCACAATGGTGACATTGGTTCCACTTGTCTCTTTACCTGCTTTCTCTCTCTACAATGCTGCCATAATGGCCTCCAAAAACAGAGGTAGTTTTGCCTCATGCAACAGGTGAAAAATAGCAAATAAACTTCCTGGGACCAACAGAATAAAGTCTAACTCTCATACGGTTTTCAAAATCTTCTAAAATCTCACTTCTTGCAATTTCATCTACTCTCCTCCCCCATTGTTGACTGGATTACATCCAGTTTCATAAACTTAGCATTGGCTTCAGTTCCTTTTGGACTTTGTTTCTAATGTTTCTATGACCTGTTAATATGCTTTGCCATTTTCTTCACCTATGGCTAATCTGCTCACGTTTCAAAGACAAAACTTATTTCACATCTCCTCTGGTATTTTCTCAAACCGGTCAATCAAATTCATTTGCTTCTTGCTCTTGTTACCGTAACACTTTGCACATATAGCTGGTATACACCAGTCCATGTTGCCCTTCACTAAAAGTTACTTCCAGCTCAGACTCAGTATCCACAGAGTCTCTGATAGGGTGATGAAAAGGTTCTAGAATTAGACAGTGGTGATGCTTGCACAACATGGTGAATGTACTCAACGCCATTGAACTGTTTATTTACAAATGGTTAAAATAGTAAATATCATATATGTTTTTAACCACAATAAAATATATTAAAAACTTATGTTGAACGAAATATAAAATTAGTGGTGAAACATTACTAGCATTTTGAAGAAACTAGAGAAAAATACTTCTGTCATCAGTATTTGTTGATACTGTACTGGTGGTCTAGCAAAAGAAGGAAACCTAGAAAAAATACACAAAGGGTATATGGGTTAAAAAAATCATTTTCAGAGAAAAATGATGTCTGTATATATATTTTAAAAATCCAAATACTTCACTGACAAATCAAAAATATTTTATGTTATAATTATTTTAAAAATCTAAGGCCAAAGTTAAAGAGATAAAATTGCCAAATATTAATGAACGCAAAATATCTATTTTGCATGGTCAGAAAATAAGTGTTACATTATTTCTCTTACTCTGTGTGTATGTGTATATATTTAACTTTTACAATAAAAAGGTGGAGGATGAAAGATGAAGTGATTTCATGTGTAAATTGTTTCAAACGTTTAAGAAGAAAATATAGACATGCACTCTTTAAACCATTACCTCACAAATGGAATTAAAAATATCAATAAAACTTACTTAAACAAAGTACTTAAATAAAATTTTTAAGAAGCTAAGTAAAATAAATTTCAGTAGTAGTGTAATAAAGTGGTATTATTCTAGGAATAAAAAGAGCAAAATTAAGACAATCTAATTTAATTCAACAGATTAATAAAGAACTATATATACATATATATATATATATATATCCACTTCGACAGTACCCACAAAAACCATTTCATGAAAACTAAAATTATTTATAACTAAAAATTAAGCTGGAAGCAAAATAGGAGCATGAGAACACTTAATGAACATAATACCTACGTACTTGATTTGTGGTGAAATATAAAATTGTTCTAAAATAAATTAAGAAGAAGACAAGGGAATGTCTACCACTATGATTAACATTTCCTTCAGGAAGTTTCAGACAGTGTATGAAGATGTTAAATCAAAATAAAAGAATTAGGTATTCTCAAAGAGGGAAAATATGTATCTATGTGTGCTATTAACGTCATTGCACACCTAGAAAATCCAATCAAAACAACAGACAACCTATTGCAAATCATAAGAACATTCAATAAGATGACTGTTAACATAACTAAAATGTAGAATTAAAAACATTTTATATGACCACAGACCATAAGCAGTTATAAATGTAATGGTAGAAAGATTACATTTATAATATTCAAAGAAAAATAAAATATCAAAAACTAGACTTAACAAGAAAATTGCCAGACCTATTTTTTAAAGGCTTATACTTCAGTAAATAACATTTAAAAATATTTTGTATCATACTTTATGAAAATTCATTTTAAAAAATTCAGACACTGATCAATTGCTCAGAATATTATTTATTACAATATGTTTTTATAATTTTAGAGCAGGAAATCTGCAAATAATAATGTATTTCTGCAGTAAAATACTAATACAAAGCATAACGTCATAAAATGTTAAAATCTTAAAGATCTTTTCTTCAACTGAAAATCCACAGCATATAATGAATCATTATATTTTATGTTTCTCTGTAAGTAGCTGCTGTTCATCAAATTTCAAAAGACAGCTTATTTGTGTAGCCTATAGAAAGATGTTGACTTAAAAATAACAGCTGGTTTACATCTTTTTGTTATATCAATTCCACTCCCATTAGAGGTGAATTTATAATAATCTCATTGCTAAGATGGTAGGGGCAATAGCATTCCAAAAAGCTTAATTTTCCAACTGTTTTGTATATGTAACTGAAAAGAGGAGAAACGTGTGACCTTAGAAATGATAGGCTGCTAATGTCTTTACATGTGGGTTGTATTTGTTCACATTTTTTTATAGTATAAGAACAAAATGCTTGAAAATTCAATTTTTAAAATTCTGATAAACTGAGTTTGCCTTTTATTTTTAGAAATGGAATTACAATGAGGCTATGTATTTTTGAAATCCAAGTAAATCAAAATTTAGTATCTGGGACAAGGTAAATATTCATGGAGTCAAACTATAATTAATACATCACTCTAATTCAAATGCAAGATGTAATCAACTAATTAGACCCAGAGGAAATCTTTTCTTATTGTGCATAGAATATTCTAGGTACTGTAATAAATAAAAATTATAACCACTATTATTACTAGATATTTATTTAATGTAATTTATTGGTTTATGTTTGTCTTTTAAGACGCACTCTATGACAGTGAGGAAAGTACTGGCCGGGCATAGTGGCTCACGCCTGTCATCCTGGCACTTTGGGAGGCTAAGGCAGGCAGATCACTTGAGCCAGGAGTTTGACACCAGCCTGGTCATCATCGTGAAACCCTGTCTCTACTAAAAATACAAAAAATGGCCAGGTGCGTTGGCTTACGCCTGTAATCCCAACACTTTGGGAGGCCGAAGTAGGTGGATCACGAGGTCAGGAGATCGAGACCATCCTGGCCAACATGGTGAAACCCTGTCTCTACTAAAAATACAAAAAAAATTAGCCAGTCGTGGTGGTGGGTGCCTATAGTCCCAGCTACTCGGGAGGCTGAGGCAGGAGAATGGCGTGAACCCGGGAGGCAGAGCTTGCAGTGAGCTGCGATCATGCCACTGCACTCCAGCCTGGGGTCAGAGTAAGACTCCGTCTTAAAAAAAAAAAAAATACAAAATATTAGCTGGGAGTGGTGGCTCATGCCTGTAGTCCCAGCTACTGGAGAGGCTAAGGCACATGAATTGCTTGAACCTGGGAGGTGGAGGTTGCAGTGAGCCTAGATTGTGCCACTGCACTTCAGCCTGGGTGATAGAGTGACATTGTCTCAAAAAAAAAAAAAAAAAAAAAAAAAGACAATGAGGGAAGTACTGAATAAAATATGACAACACAATAAATACCTTATTGTTAACTATGCATAATGAAATATATGTAAAATCTTGTATAAAATGGGTTTTTGAATGGTGACATTCTGAATCACGCATTATTATTATTATTATTATTATTACTACTACTACTACTATTTTGAGACAGGGTCTCTCTCTGTCGCCCAGGCTGGAGTGCAGTGGCGCGATCTCGGCTCACTGCAAGCTCCGCCTCCCGGGTTCACGCCATTCTCCTGCCTCAGCCTGCCGAGTAGCTGGGACTACAGGAGCCTGCCACCACGCCTGGCTAATTTTTTTGTATTTTTAGTAGAGACGGGGTTTCACCCTGTTGGCCAGGATGGTCTCGATCTCCTGACCTCATGATCCGCCTGCCTCGGCCTCCCAAAGTGCTGGGATTACAGCCCTGAGCCACCGCGCCCGGCCCTCATGCATTATTTTGATTCAAATCTTAGGGATTTATATATACTCTGTTGGAAATTTTGGTTAGCAAACTGTTGGCCTAAACAAGTAATTGTAATATAACAGTAATCAACTACTCAACAGGGTTAGGCAGAACGTAACTCAACTAACTTTAGAATGGCTAAAATAAAGGTCATATGGAGTCACCACATGAAAAAGAGGTTAAAAGAGAAATGAGGAATAAAATATACATGAGATATATAGAAAACCAAAACTTCAATGGCAGACAAAATCAACTATATCAATAAGAACATTAATTGTGGTTTGGCTATTTACCCCACTCAAATCTTACCTTGAGTTGTAGCTACCATAATTCCCATGTATCATGGGAGGGACCCGGTAGGAGGTAGTTGAATCATGGGGATAGGTTTTCCCTTGCTGTTCTCATGATAGTGAATAAGTCTCATGAGATCTGATGGTTTTATAAAGGGGAGTTTCCCTGCACGTGCTCTCTTGCCAGCCACCATGTAAGATATGACTTAGCTTCTCTTTGCTTTCCACCATGATTGTCATGCCTCCCCAGCCGTGTGGAACTGTGAGTCAGTTAAACCTCTTTCTATTATAAATTTTCCATTCTCAGGTATGTCTTTTTTTTTTTTTTTTTTTTTTTGATACTGAGTCTCGCTCTGTCACTCAGTCGGGAGTGCAGTGGCGTGATCTCAGCTCACCGCAAGCTTGGCCTCCCGGGTTCAGGCCATTCTTCTGCCTGAGCCTCCCCAGTAGCTGGGATTACAGGCGCCTGCAACCATGCCCGGCTAATTTTTTGTATTTTTAGTAGAGACGGGGTTTCACCGTGTTAGCCAGGACAGTCTCAATCTCCTGACCTCGTGATCTGCCCGCCTCGGCCTCCCAAAGTGCAGGGATTACAGGCGTGAGCCACCACGCCCGGCCTCAGGTATGTCTTTATAAGTACTATGAGAACAAACTAATACAGTGAACATATTAAACAATTTAATCAAAAGGTAGAGATTGGAAAACTGAATTAAAAAAAAAAAAGATTCCAAAAATATGGAGACACAATTTAGATTTAAAGATATAAATAGGCTAAAAACAAAAGGATAGAAAATTATATATCATACAAAAAGCAAACATAAGGAAGCAAGAACAGCTTTACAAACATCAGACAAAATGGAGTTTAAGATAAAAATGTTCCTACAAAAAAGTAACACTTTATAATGATACACTTACCAGTAAATCTAGAAATAAAGTAATTCCATATTCACCCAAAAAGAACTCCAAAATTCATGGAGTCTGCTCTGACATAATTAGAGGGAAAAATAGACAATTCAACAAAAATAGTTGGAGAGTTTAATAACACACTTTCAAACATAGAAAGAGCCACTAAGTTTAAAATCAACAAAGAAATAAACATTTGCACAGCAGTCTAAACCAACTAGACTTGGAAGACTTCTGCAGAACATTCCACCAACAAGAGTGGTATACACTTTCTCATCAAGTGCATATGAAACATTATCCTGGATACACCATAAGTTAGCCTGTAAAGCAAGCCCCAGTAAATTTAAAGGAATCACAATCATACATAGTATGTTCTGCAATTACTTCCATTGTTCTAATTTCTATTGAATTATAAATCAACAACAGAAGTAAATTTGGGAAGTTGGCAACTATGTGGAAATTTAACAACATAATCTGTATAATTAATGAGTGAACAACAAAATCCCAAGAAAAATTAGATTATGATTTGAGTCATATGAAAATAAAATGAAACATGTCACTTTATGAGATGCTCCTAAAACAGTGTTTAGAAGAAATTTGTAGCATTAATGCGTATAATTTAAAAAAATCAAATCAATAAGTTAACTGTCTACATCAATATACTGGAAAAAAGAACAAAACAATCCTGGAGCAAACAGAAAAAAAGAGAAGCATAAAAGAGAAGTTAATGATTTATGGTATAGAAAGCAATGCAAGAGAAAACAAAATCAAATTTTCTTTCTTGAACAGATCAACAGGATTTACACACCTTTAGCTAGGTAGAACAAAAGAAGGACTCTCATTACTGTAGTCAGGAATGAAATTGGAGACATCGCTATTAATAACACAGTCATGATCAGGATTATAAAGGAATATTCTGAACAATTATATACCAATGCCTTAGATAACTTAGATACATTTCCATATCCTGAGAAAGACACAAATGCCAAAACTGACTGAAAAAGACAACAAAAATCTAAAAATGGCTACAACATGTAAGAAATTGAATTAGTAATTTAAAAACCTTTCTACAAAGAAAATCTCAGAACCAGGTAGCTTCAGTGATAAATTCTAACAAATATTCTAAAAATAATTAATAACAATTCTTAACAAACTCTTCCAAAAAATGAGAAAAGGAAATATGTCATAATTCATTCTATGAGGCCAATACTACTCTGATACCACAACCCAACAAAGACATTACAAGGAAAGAACAGTATAGACCTTATATTTACATATGCAAAAATCCTCAACAAAATATTAGCATACTGAGTCCAATAACATAGAAAAATGATAACATTATCACCAATTGGAATTTATCTCAGAAATATAAGGGTGGTTTAACATTCAAAAATTCATTAATATTAATATACCAGGTCTATAGAATAAAGAAGAAAAAATCTCATTAGACACAGTAAAAACTTTTCAGAGAAACCCAACATTCTTTCATCAAAATATAAATAAGTAAAGCTAGAATAAAAGGAAACCTTTTCAACCTGATAAATGAAATGTATAAAAAACCACAGCAAGCATAGCACTTAACACTGAAAGGTTGAAAGCTTTCCCCTTCAGATGAGGGATAAGACAAGAATGTCTGCTCTAGCTATTTCTGTCCAACATTGTACTGGAAGTTCTAGCTAGTACAATTTGGCAAGCAAAAGAAGTAAAAGGCATCCATATGGAAAAGCAAGAAATAAAGATATTTATGTTTGCAGAATTCTAAGGAATTCACTAAATACTGCTAGACCTAATATGAATTCAGCAATACTGCAGGGTACAAGATCAAAGTACAAAAATCCATCATATTTTTTCACACTGGGAATCAACTATGCATAAATGGACTTGGGAAAACAATTCCACTTAAAGTAGCATAAAATTTAAAAAAGCCTAAAAATAAATGTAACCAAAAAAGTGCAAAACTTGCACTCTGAATCCTATTAAATATAGTTGAAAGAAATCCTAAATTGAAAGATACCTTCTGTTTGTGGATGGTAGGACTTAATATTGTCAATATGGCAATATTCCTCAAAATAATCTACACATTCAATACATCACTCTAAAAGGCTCATCTGTGAGCTTGAAGAAATTGACAAGTTTATCTTAAAATTTATGTAAGAATGTAAATGAAAAGTAGTAGTCTAAATCTTTTAGAAAAACAGAGTTAAATGATTATAACTTTCTGATTTTAAACTTCAAAGATAAAGTTATCAAGACAGTATGGCACAAGAATAGGGATAGAAATACAGATTCATGAAGTACAATTGGATGTGTAGAAGCAAACCCCCATATTTATTGGTTAATTGATTTTTGACAAGTGTGTTAAGGCAATTCAATGGGGAAGAATATATTTTCAACCACTAGTACAGAATGGCTGTTTATCTTTATGGGAAAGAATACAGTTGTGCCTGTTATCTCAAAAAAAAAAAAAAATATATATATATATATATATATATACTGGAAATGGATAATAGACCTAAATGTAAGAGCTAAACCTACATGCCTGGTTCAAGAAAAATAGGAGTAAATCCTCATGATCTTTAGTTAGAAATTTTATTAACTACGACACCAAAAGCAAAAGCAACAATATAAATAGATACCTTAAATGCCATCAAATTAAAAACTTTTGTGCTTCAAAGGACATCATGCAGAAAATGAAAATGGAACAGAAAGAATGGGAGAAAATATTTACAAATCATATACTTGAAAAGAGACCAGTATCGAGAATGTATAAAACAGCTTGAATGTATAAAAACTCAACAATAAAAAAGATACATAAACTATTTCCAAAATGGATACAGGATCTGAGGAGACATTTCTCCAGAGAAAATTAACAAATGTTCAGTAAGCACATGAAAAGATGCTCAAAATTATTAGTCATTAGGGAAATAAATTGAAAACCACAATAGGATACACTTCACACTCACTAACATGGCTATCATCTAGAACATGCTTAATAACAAGTGTTGGTGAGGATGTGAAGAAATATTAATCCTCATACATAGCTACTGGAAATATAAAATGCTGGAGCCACTTTGGAAAACAGATTTTCATGTCCTCAATGGGTTAAACATAGAGTGGGAACACTGAGGCAGGAGGGTCGCTTAAGCCCAGGAAATGGAGGTTGCAGTGAGTTGAGATCACACGAATACACTCCAGCCCAGGCAACAGAGTGAGACTCTGCCTCGAAAAAAAAAAAAAAAGAAATCAGATTCAATGAAGTGCTGATACATGCTGCACCATTGGCAACTTGAAAATTTTTTGCTAAGTGAAAAAAGCTAGATGCAAAAGGCCATGTAGTGTATGATACCATTAAAATAAATTATACAGCTATGCAAATGCATAGAGACAGAAGTAGATTTAGGTTGTGAGACCCAACAGGGGAATGAACTGGAGGTAAATGGGAAGTGACTACTAATGGGTATGAGGTTTCCTTTAGGAGTGAAGAAAATGTTCTACAACCAATTGTAGTGATGGCTACACAACTGTAAATATACTAAAAACCATTGATTTGTACATTTAAAATGAGTGAATTGTATATCATGAATTTTATCTCAATGCAGCCATTACACACAGAAAAACAGCATTACAATGGTCAAGCAAAATTCTTTTGAATCTATCCCCATCTAAACTGTCAAGTCTCATTTCCCAAGACTCTTGGTCACATACAATTTACTCCGGCCAAACTTGTGTTCTCTTACGGTGATATTTTCTGCCTGGAATACCATTGCCTTAATTTCAACACTCAAATCCTACATAAGCTTACTCTCTTCTTGCAGCTTTCCTCAGATCTTCAAATCCAGGCTTCTCATTCCTGAATTCCAGTATCATTTTTTCCCTGCTGTCTCCTAATCTTCGTGTTTTCATTCTGTACAAATACAATCTACTTGGAATTTCTGTAAATTCCTAAAATACAGAATTAAAGTGAGTTTCATTTGATTAATTTCTTCACTCTTAGCGTAGTGCCTGGCGTCTTGTAACATTTCAACAAATGCGTGCTTAATAAATGAATTAATATTCATATTAAGTGACCCAGTCATTCTAAAGAATAATAGTTGTGACACAGGGGTTCCTACAATAGACACAATCCTAGGATGCTCTGCCAAACAAAGAACTTACGCTCTCAAAGAAGCATCTAATTTGTTCTGCTAGCCAAAAATGATAGAGAGCTCCCCAAATGAGCAGACTTGCCTCATCTGGCCACTATATTAGCCATGGAATAGTCCACAGACAGTTGTCTTGGGTTGAGACACTAATTCCATTTAGCAGTTTTTAGTGAGGTAGGTTAGGGTTACGTATTATTCAGGAGGTCTGGGACTTTGTCCATTAGACTCATCTTTCTCATCTTTATATCCTTAGTGTCTGGTATTATGTTTCATACATAGCAGAATCCTAGAAATTACTTGTTGAATGAATAAACATCGTATAGAAAGCAAATTGTATACAAGGTAATGGCCTATGGCTGCCTTTATCTGAACAGGTGCTCAGAAAGAATTGTTTATTATAACAGCTCATGCACTATGGCAGGTCATCTTTTGTGAGCCCATCTTGGTAGCAATATGAGTTTATGTGAGCTGCATATGTAGATAATTTAGATGTTCCATTTTGTTTTGAGATTAGAGAAGGTTTCTGACTCATCTTGACAAAAATCAATGAAGAAGATGTTAGAATCAGGCAATAAATGAAACATCCAGCTTCTCTGGAGAAACATCAGTCAGAGTTTTGTTTGTTTTTAGCGGGTTTTTATTTTAATTTTCATTTTTTTTTTAATGGAGAGAGAGTCTCACTATGTTTTCCAGGCTGGTCTTGAACTACCGGGCTCAAGCGATCTTCCTGCCTTGGCCTCCCAAAATGCTGGGATTACAAGGTGTCAGCCACTGCACCCAACATTTGTTTTGGTCTTTAAAATATAGTTCTGCTATTTTCTACTTAACATTACCTTAAGCAATTTCTCTCATTGATTTCGTCACCTTTTTGGGAAAGAAGTTCAAGAAGATATGAGTCTTATATAAAAAAATAGAAAAAAAGAAGAGAGATTTGTAATGGTCAAGTTTTGTAGAAATATCCTGATTACTACTTTAATTTCTTGAGACAGCATATTCGTTTTTATATAGTAAAGATAACAACTTAATCATGATTTTTCTTTTTAAGGTACCTAAAAAGTGTTCATCTTCAGTTCTCCTAAAATAAATATTTAATTAATAATTAATATTTTAATTCTTAATTAAGCAGTGCAACATATAAAGACTAAAGTTTTTCATATTCTTGTTTTCTTTTGTTAAAAATGATCTAAGTTTTCTTATGGAAATGAGATGATGAAAACTTAATATAAATGTTTTCTCAGAGAGAGTTTACCCAGTCCTTGTGCTCATAGCTAAAGAACTTGCATGTGGCAACAAATACCCCTGCTTTGCTTCTATAGAAAGAATCAAGGTTCCCCTCACATATTCCACTCTCATTCTGTTGTACTATTTTTGAGAAGATGAGCAAAATATTATTTAAGATCCAGTAAATCATTATATTTGGCAATGACAAGAGACAAAGTGAAAATAAATTTTGGGTTAAACCATAAGTTCTGTTTGTATGTGTATATATCTGTTAGGTGTCAGAAACTGTGATGGTTACTAAATAACTATATTCTATGTGATGATGATAAATACATCATAGACATATAATAGGAGAATAGATCAATGGATCAAGACATAGATGATGATAGGCAGATTTTTTAAATGAAGTTTTCCCTTAATTTATCAGCACTAGAAGATTGAAACACAATATTACTCGATTTCTGTAGTTCCTCTTTTTACTGAGAATAACACTAAACTGAAACTCTAAACTTAATATCTTCCATTTTTGAAAAGCTAAATAAACAGTCAAAAGTTAAATACCTTTTAACATTTGTGTATATAATTTGGAAAGATTATTTATTTATGCTTTGAACAAGCAAAAGATAATGTGGGTACTGAGTATGTCTCTTCAACCCCAGTGGGTTCCCCAGCAACCTCAAAGTAATCTACATAGTCTCACAGAGTTTGCAGTTTTCCTGCAGACATGAGAAAGGTTTGCTCACCTCCCACTCTGTTCCCTCTCACCTATAGGACCATTAATTAGACCAGCAGTAGCAAGACCCTAACTGTTGCTATGTACTTATTGCATCCTATCTTGCTTATAGATTGGAACAGTAAAGCTTAAATGAGTCTTTTTATGCAGTCAGGCCATCATCACCTTCATTGTGGGTCTTTCAAAGACATAATCTGAATTCCCATCAATCAGAAAACCAACAGTGTGTTAAGCATTTTGGATGATGCATACTCACCAACCCTCTGCCTACAGCATCACCTGTTTTATTTTCTGTCTCGATTTCATACTTTTTTGGGCAAAACCACCAGGGAAATATATTTCAATCATAATATATGATAATACTGCTCTCTGCACTCCATTTCATCACCGAAGCCTTGTCTTTTTAAATTGGAAAATGGATTTACGTCTTAGTATTATTTCTGCCACACAGCATTTCAGTGAAACAGCATTTGGATGGCTACAAGTAAATTTAATTTTCTTTCGCTGCTTCGTGGAGTTGGTTACTGTTGATCAAATGATGTCATTTTCAAAGTTTGTTTTTTGGGGGATGTAAAGTAAAGGCCCCATGACCGTGTTAAAACTATGGAGCAGGTATCACCTTCTGAAATAACCAATGATCTTAAAAGTCATTTTGCTTTGTGTTTCCCCATTCGAGAAACTTAAAACCTTCAAGAAATGCTTTAATGTATTTTCTTTCCTTTAATTAGGGCTGTATGTAAATGAATCTAGGAAGGAGTTATTTCTATTGTCAAAGAAAATATGCACTAGATGGAGTCAAATAAGCATGGAACACTTTATTCAAGACTATTGAAATAGGTCAAGGTTATTGCAATAGGGAAAAGAATTTAAACTCAACTCTCCTGAAATAAATGGCTGGAGACTTATAAGCACTGGGATGAACTAGTGGACATGTGTTGGAGGACTTTAAGGAAGGAAAGTTGGTCAGTGCTATTGGACCATCTATGTTTGCTAATTGGTACTTAACAAAGTTAGAATTCTAGCCTTTCATAAAGACATGGACGTCTTATCTTTCTTGGGTGACTACATTTCAAAGGAATGACTCACTGATCTTTGAAGACATTCCTAGGTATTACAGCTGGCAAGTATTTGGGAGAAGATTTACATCTCAAAGGGGCAGAGAAAGGATCTACAATTGCAAGTTTTCTAAAGTAAATGCTCTAGGACAAGGGAGGTGAGGAGTTTATAGTGCTGTGGAAGGCTGTCTATAGTTTAGTCAAGCTGAAGAGAATGTTAAGTCCATCTTGATCACTATCTTTCATAAAGTACAATACAATTCTTTGCATAATAATTTAACTCATCACTTCTAGGATCAGATTTTTTTTTTCCTAATCTCTATATTGATTCTTCTCCACAAAAGTTTGGAGTAGGCCGGGCGCGGTGGCTCACGCCTGTAATCCCAGCACTTTGGGAGGTCGAGGTGGGCGGATCACGAGGTCAGGAGATTGAGACCATCCTGGCTAACGCGGTGAAACCCCATCTCTACTAAAAATACAAAAAAATTAGCCAGGCCTGATGGCGGGCGCCTGTAGTCCCAGCTACTCCGGAGGCTGAGGTAGCAGAATGGCATGAACCCGGGAGGTGGAGCTTGCAGTGAGCGGAGATCACGCCACTGCACTCCAGCCTGGGAGACACAGCAAGACTCCATCTCAAAAAAAAAAAAAAAAAAAAAAAAAAGTTTGGAGTACAATAAGTGTACCAAACAGTAATGTGAACAATTGAACAGATCTTAGCATTTTTGCTTAGACATTTTAAAATGCTATGTTCTAAAGAAATCTTGGTAGGAATTCTTTTTGAGAATAAAGTTTATAAAATAATATTTTTATGAAGCTACAGAAGTAAAAAACATGTCAGAAATCAATATTGTTGTGCAATATTTGTTTTTTCAACCCTTTGATAATAATCTTATGCTGAATGCAGTTTTTACATATTGACCAGGAATTTAAATCCTTTAATTAAAAAAAAATTAGATCATATAATATGACATAAAACTACTCAATCTAGCCTTTAGTGTTACATGTTCCCTCTCTCCTTTTTTTATTATTCTCTTGTGTTTTACGAAAAAAGATGAAAGGCTGCATATACGAATTTTTAAGACATTATATTATTTCAGGCTTTATCTCCACTGTTACGCCCCATAAAATGTATTCAAGTATTTCATTTGTTACATACTGCATATCAGATTTATATTGAATATTTTGAGGACTAGAAATTTTCGTTTAACTGATTCTTAGTAAGAAACCAGGTGGAGAATAAAATTTATTGATATACATGGTATTCTATATCAAATATTTTGGAGTTTCACTTATGTTATTTCAACTTTTTTAACAACCTATAAGGTAGATCTTATTCATTTATATTTATATACTGGAAAAATTCTGTCTTCGTATATTTGATCAACTGATTTTTTTCTGTTCTACTCCAACAATCTGATCACAATATGAAAACTGATCTCAAACTGCTTGCCCAGTTGTGATTTTGAGAAATGATGACTTTTGGCAAGGTTGACACCCATGATATTTAAAGAATATATCTTGAGTATGTGTTCTAAATTATTGTTCCCAACTTCTTTGTTGTCAAAAGGCTTATACGTTTCCACCTTTCACCTTTTGATTTGCAGCATCTTCAGTGGCATAGTCGATATCTCCATGATGTTGTTGCACTTTTCCAGCTGGCTGGTTTTAGCCAATGAAGTATGAACGAGACGTGCCACATCTGAGCAGGAGCTTTAAAAGATACTATGTTTTCTACCAATACACTTGCTTATCTTTCTATGCTATTTTGTTCCAAAATATTCCTATAGTGTAAAGACATTACAAGAGTCTGCCTTTAGATTCTGGAATAAAAAGACTTGGAGCAGCTGAATTACACCCACCAACATGTAATTAATATAAACAGAAATTGGATTTTGTAATCCCCTGAGATTGTGGAATTGCTTAGTATATTGGGTTGGTGCAAAAGTTATTGTGCTGGGCGCAGTGTCTCATGCCTGTAATCCCAGCACTTTGGGAGGCTGAGGCAGGCAGATCATGAGGTCGGGAGATTGAGACCATCCTGGCTAACATGGTGAAACCCCGTCTCTACTAAAAATACAAAAAATTATCCGGGCATGGTGGCGGGTGCCTGTAGTCCCAGCTACTCGGGAGGCTGAGGCAGGAGAATGGCGTGAACCCGGGAGATGGAGCTGGCAGTGCGCTGAGATCGCACCACTGCACTCCAGCCGGGAGGACAGAGCGAGACTCCATCTCAAAAAAAAAGAAGTAATAGCAAAAAGTGCAATTATGTTTGCACTAACCTAATAGTAGCAAAATTGATTAATACTGTTTATGTCTTTAATTAAGTAGAGTACTATTGATCCATCTATCCATGGATAGTAAAAGTTCAAATAATATAGTGGGAATTTTTAGTACTAGTGGAATTTTATTACACAGAATAGAATTTTTTTAATTAGTTAGAAAATCTTTTGTATATACAGTTATAAGTTTCAACCTAAGGGTCCCTGTTTCAGTAAAGATTGGCCCATTTTAGTCCTTGTTATTGTAGCAGGACAAGCCACAGACAAAACCCATCAGACACCAGGTTAAAGAAGGAAGAGGCTTTATTTGGCCGGGAGTGTTGGCAGACTTGCATCTCAAGAACGGAGCTCCCCAGAGAAAGAGTTGCTGGCCCTTTTAAGGGCTTAGAACTCTAAGGGGTCCACGTGAAAGGGTTGTGATAGATTGAGAGCACATGTGGTTAGGGTAGGAGGGTTAATCTTTACCTTCAGGCCTGGTCAGTGGCACCAATTGTTCTGGCCACTGACTTCATTCCTGTTGATTTTCAGCTTTTACTTTCTCCCTCTCTTCAGATACAGGAAACAGCAAGAGAAATGGCTTCTCTCTACATTCCCCACTTTGAGAACCTCACTCACTAGTGGGAGTTCTCACTCTCATCTTCACTACACAGTCCTAATTCATGACAAACATACTTACTTTCCTCTAGCCCCTTTCCCAATCTAGAGAGCCACATCTTATTCTATTTCCATACAGGTCACTGTTGATTGCCTCACAGGTGTCAAGTTTTAAGATAATTTGTTTGGGGACTCCTTTTTCTTCTGTTCTAGTTGTTACTTTACTTGTATCAGCTTTTCCCCAGTTGCCAGTCCTCAATCTTATTTCAAAAACTGTAGTCATAGGGGGCTCTGATGGGTTATAGCACATCTGGTCACTTCTTGGGCTGCATCCCTTGTACTGGGTGGGATGAGCTTCACGTCCCTTTTAGAGTTCCAGTACATTCATAATAACTATACAACAGAAAGACTGTTTTAACTTTTTGCCCTACCTCAGTAACTTGATGTATGCATTGGGAACAGTCCTCAGTCTGAGGAAGGTCAGTTGAAGTCCTTACTGTACAAGTCCAGACTTTCAGAAAAATGAGTCCCACTATGAGTTTCCTCATGCTTCAGCTGTGCACGGACCAGTCAGCTTCCGGGTGTGACTGAAGCATGGCTTGTCATCTTCAAAGTCACTTTGCAGGGGTTGTCCACACTTGGCTTCACCTCCCAGGTCTCAGGTGCTGCAGGTTTTATGCGGCTGTGGTAGATCCAGGCTGGGATTCCCTCTATCTTTATGGCTGTGGGAGTGGTCAAGACGATGGTCTGGGGTCCTTTCCACCATGGCCGCAAGGGGACTACGTTCCAATCCTTGATCCACACCTGATCACCTGGGGAGAAAGGGTGAACTGGGGAGAATAAGCTGATGGGGTGCCTCTCATTTACCCAGGCTGAAATTTTTTGTGTAATTTTCCCTAAAGCCTGTAGCTGTTGCTGTAACTCAATTTCACCTAGCTCTCAAGGAGTGTCTGGGAGTCCCTGTAGTATGGGAGGGGGCATATATATATATATATATATATGATATAATATTACATAAGGGGAATATCCTATTCTTTTAGAAGGGGTACATCTAATCTTGAACAATACCATAGGGAGAGTTTATACCCACTTTAATCCTATTTCTTGACACACTTTCCCTAAACTATTTTTCGTAGTCCGATACATCTGCTCCACTTTTCTGGAACTCTGTGGTCAGTAAGCAGTATATAGTTTCCATGTGATCCCCAATACCTTTGCTGTCTTCTGTACCAAGTCAGCCACAAATGCCGGCCTGTTGTCTGAGCCAATTCATAAGGGCAGTCCAAACCTAGGGATGAGATCTCGGAGAAGCACATCGGTTATTTCACGAGCTTTCTCAGTTCGTGTTAGATAGGCCTCCATCCACCCAGAGTATGTACTCACTAAAACTAGCAAATACTTGTTACCTCCACATTTGGGCATCTCGGTGAAGTCTACTTGGAGATCTTCAAAGGGGGCTGCCCCATAAGTTTGCATGCCAGGTGTTACAGTTGGACCTTGCCTAGCATTGTGCTGCTGGCAGGTGACACGCTGCCGCACCACTGTTTTGGCAAGGGCTGACAGATGCCAGACGTAGAAGCACTGGCCTAACAACTCTTGGCCTAGGTGGGTGATCTCACGCACAGCCAGTACGACTGCGACTCCTAGCAGCTGTGGCACAACTATTCTTCTGTCCAATAACTGGAATCATCCCTCTTCTATCACCTGCCCTCCCTCTGCCTGGAGAAAGTCCTTCTCTTCTTCAGAATAGGTAGGTACAAGGTCACGTGCCTGAGGGAGCAGGGGGTGGGCTGTGACTGATGCCCAGTATTGGGTGAATGCTGCTTTTTGAGCCTCTGAATCAGCTCAGGAGGTCCCCAAGGCAATCGAGGTGGAAGCTCGCTGGTGTCCTCTGCAGTACATGACTGTCACCTTTTGGGGCTTCCACACTGCCTCTAATAATTGCAGGACCTCTCACTGGTACTTTATGTCTTTTCCCCCAGAGTTCAACAGGCCTTTTTCTTTATATAACGCCCCTGCACTTGTAGGGTTAAGAAGGCATACCGAGAGTCAGTGTAAATGTTTACAGTCTTACCTTCACTTAGCTCTGAGGCCCGAATTAAAGCAATGAGTTTGGCCTTCTTTGCTTAAGTACCCTTGGGCAATGATTTGGCTTCAACGACAGCATCCAGGGTTACCACTGCATATCCTGCACACCTCTCTCCTGGTGGGTTGACACAACTGCTGCGGTCCCTGTATAGCTCCCGGTCTACTGATGTCCAGGGATGGTCTCGGAGGTCGGGCCTGCTAGAATAAACTGAGTCCAATGCCTCTACACAGTTATGTTCAACTGGGCTCTGATACCGGGAGTAAGGTGGCAGGGTTCAAAGTGTTGCAAACTTCAATGGTTATGTAGGGATTTTCAAAGAGCAAGCTTTGGTAACTAGTTAGTCTAGCATTTGTTAGCCAATGATGTCCTTTGGTATTTGTTAAAGTCAACACAGCATGGGGGGCCTTTATATTCAGGTTTTGCCCAAGAGTTAGTTTTTCCGCTTCTTGTGCTAGCAGGGCAGTTGCTGCCAAGGCCCTCAAACACGGGGGCCAACCTTTGGAAACCCCGTCTAGTTGTTTAGAGAGGTAGGCCACTGGCCTCAGCCAGGGCCCCACAGTCTGGGTCAAAACTCCAACCGCCATCTTTTCTCTCTCTGACACATACAGTGTAAATGGCTTTGTCAGGTCAGGCAGCCCCAGGGCTAGGGCTGTCATGAGTTTGTCTTTTAACACATGAAAAGCTTGTTGCTGTTTGGGACCCCCATTCGAAAGATTCCTTGTCACCCCCCTTTGTGAGTCCTTACAGGGGCTTGGCCAGTACTGCAAAGTTTGGGATCCATAACCTGCAGAACCCCACAGCTCCTAAGAATTCTCTCACCTGCCTTCTGGTATTAGGCTCCGGTAGGTTGCAAATGACCTGCTTTCTTTCTGATCCCAGGCTGTGCTCCCTGTGTCCGATAGTAAATCCCAGGTAACGTACCTGCTGTATGCAATTCTGAGCTCTCTTCTTGGACACCTTATACCCACAGTCCTCCAGGTGCTGGATCAGGGTATCCTTCCTCATAGCGCACCCGACTGCTGTGGGGTGTCCCAGCAGGAGGTTGTTGACGTACTGGAGCAACACACAGCCTAGGTCTCTGGTGGGAAACTTCTGGAGGTCTTGAGCCAGTGCTTCCCCGAAGATAGTCGGGGAGTTCTTGAACCCTTGGGGAAGCCAGGTCCAAGTATACTGAGTGGTGACACCTGACCCCAGATCCTCCCACTGAAAGGCAAATAGTTTCTGGCTCTCAGGAGCTAGTCTGATGCTTAAAAAAAGCATCTTTCAGGTCCAGGCAGGTAAACCAGCTATCCTCAGCTGGCAGCAACCCCAACAATGTGTATGGGTTAGGTACCGTTGGGTGCAAAGTCACTGTAGGTTGGTTGACCAAGCACAAATCCTGTACCGGCCTGTAGTCCTTGGTCCCTGACTTGGGAACAGGCAGGAGGGGAGTGTTCCATGGAGACTGACAAGGGACTGTAATTCCAAAGGCCCTCAGGCACTTGAGATGGACCTGGATACCTTCTAGAGCTTCTCTGGGGACCGGGTACTATTTTTGCCTGACTGGCTGGGTCCCAGGCTTAATTTCTGTGATTATGGGACCTGTAGGGTTGTCTTCTGCCCACACTTTTGGCTACCGCTTAGCCAGAGCTGGTCCTATCTCTTGGCCTGGCTTAGTTAAGAAGAGTCTCCATTCCTCCTCCTGAGGAACTGTAAGGGCCATGATGATTCCCGTTCCAGGTAGCTTTAGCTATAAAGAGCTGTGCTTTGTGAAAGAGATGGTGGCTCTCATCTTGCTAAGTGTGTCCCTTCCTAGCAAAGGCAAGGGGCAATCACACATGTACAGAAACTGGTGAATCACTTCATGCCCCCCCCTACCCCACAGTGCGGGTCCGGGGCAAATAGAAGGCTTGCTTTGCCTAAACCCCTGTGGCTCCGATTATATCAATAGTCTTTTTGGATAAGGGGGTGACAGGGGTGGTCACTACTGAATGTTCAGCACCAGTATCGACAAGAAAATGTCCTTGCCCCCGACTGTCATCCTGACCATGGGCTTTTTGGGGGCACATGAGCCTGGTCCCCCTCAGTCCAGTAACCCTTCTGCCAGATTGAACAAGGCCCCTTTGTCCTTGTCTGAGGCCTCCTCCTCAGAGTTACCTTGTTTTCCTTTCAACTGGGGGCACTTGTCCTTCCAATGTCCTGTTTCCTTACAGTAAGCACACTGGTTATGCCGCAAGCGTGGAAGGCCAAAGTAAGTATTTTTCCTGGGGTCCCCCTTTTCTCTCCCCTTTGGGGGGACCCCTCTAATAGCTGCGGCTAGCAGGTCAGCATTCGCCGGGCTTGGTGTTCCCTGTCTCTGCACGTCTCTCTGTGGCTTACCCCATCTCTATTCACAAACACCTGGTTGGCTGTCTCCAATAACTGTGAAGTATTCATGCCTGCAAACCTAGCCTGTTTCTGCAATTTTCTTCTAATGTCTTCTGTGCTGTGACTAACGAAAGCCATGTTAATCATGTGCTGATTTTCAGGGCTATCAGGATCAAAGGGAGTATACATACGATAGGCCTCACATAGTCTCTCGTAGAATTGTGCCAGGCTCTCATCTTTTCCTTGAATGACCTCAGAGACTTTGTTAACATTTGTGGCCTTCCGAGCTCCCTTCTTTAACCCTTTCAGAAGGGCTTCCCTGTACCAGTTTAGCCTTTGCATACCCCATCTTTCATTTAGGTCCCACTGGAGGTCTGTTCCTAGTAATTGGATCCTCACATACTCTTGGGGGTTTTGGTAATCAGCTGGAACATGTTCTTCCAGCCACTTAGTTGCTGCTTGGA
This sequence comes from Homo sapiens, assembly GCF_000001405.40. NCBI lineage: Eukaryota > Metazoa > Chordata > Mammalia > Primates > Hominidae > Homo > Homo sapiens. Next base: position 52,432,619 of record NC_000002.12, on the reverse strand, counting down.
GCACTCCCCTCCCTTCATCTGTGTTAAAGAGGTACATGAGCAACTGGTGGCAATCAGCCCAGGTGGGGTTGTGGGTCTAGATAATAGTTTGGAGCAAATCAATTATAGCTTGAGGCTTCTCTTTATAGGATGGGGTATTGTTTTTCCAACTGAGGAGATCGGTAGAGGTGAAGGGCTGGTATACAACGGCATGCCTTTCCACCATATGCCCATCTTTGTCTACCCCACTATACCATTGCTCTCTCAGGGGCATTTCTATCCCAGTTCTAGGCCTCAAACGGGTTCCCAAGGGAGGGGTTTCTCCCAAGGTCTTGCATCCTTTCTTTTCTACTCTGGGTGGCCTAAGGGTATGTAGGCCTTGTGGAAGCACAGTGGGCTCAGGAGTGGGAGGCCTTCCTCCTTGGTGAAAGGTGGAGGGGCACTGGCACCATATCTTGCCATGAATCCTCTGATGTTGGGTTGGACAGGACTTTAGGAGCCAACTCCCTTCGGTGGGTGGAGCGGGATTCTTCCTTGGCTGTCTGTCCCTTTGCCACTAGTACTACTGCTGCCTGTCCTCTTAACCACTGTGGGGGGTCTAAAACCAGCTGTAACCAAGTGTCTGTGGAAGGAAACTGGTCGGGTGTCCTGGCTTACCAGTTACCTTGTGCCATACCTTTGAAACAAGGGACCTGTCTAGGCTTCCTTCTGATGGCCAACCCATTTTTAATGCCGGCCAGTCTATCTCACACAAAGTTCTAAGTTTTCCTGGTGTCCTGGTAGCTCCATAGTCTCCATTAAATCCTATCCTGAAATTTTTCAACATAGTTCCTAGCGGAGTGGGCTTACTTTGCATTCCACCCATCTTCCTCCTGAGACAAAACAACACTCACACCACAGGAAGGAAAGGGTAAAGGGGTCACTCACTCACCCCGACCGTCTCAAACTCTAGCACTCACTCACTTTCACTTTCCTTTGTGTTAACAAGTCAAGCCAAATCAAAATCAATACTGAGACCAAAGTGCCGATAAACGCACATTGTGGGTGATCAGACCATGCTTCTACTCAAATGGAATGGGCAAGTTCCCAGGACCCGTCCTACCATATTCCAGATGTCCAGACTCCAGGCACCAGTTCCTTCCCAGTGTTCAGCCAGTGGGTTGATCCTCCGCAGGGGCCTGCTGTGCACCACTCTGACGAGGCGTTCCACTGGGCAAGTGCCTACCCGGGAGCGCTCTCAGGATCCACATCGCTCAAGCTGGCCCGAGTCCCCCACAGGGATGCTCTGCAGGGCAGGCCTAAGCTGCCTACGACCGTCTGTTAATCACCTTGATTCCCAATCAGGGTACCAAGAAATGTAGCAGGGCAAGCCACAGACAAAACCCCTCAGACACCGGGTTAAAGAAGGAAGAAGCTTTATTTGGCTGGGAGTGTTGGCAGACTTGCATTTCAAGAACCGAGCTCCCTGAAGAAACAGTTCCTGGCCCTTTTAAGAGCTTACAATTCTAAGGGGTCCATGTGAGAGGGTTGTGATCGATTGAGAGCACATGTGGTTAGAATGGAGGGCTTAATCTTTACCCTCAGGCCTGGTCAGTGGCACCAATTGGTCTTGCCACTGACTTCATTCTTGTTGATTTTCAGCTTTTACTTCCTCCTTCTCTTCAGAGACAGGAGACAGTAAGAGAAATGGCCTCTCTCCTCATTATGTATTCATTAACTGGCTATATTTTCAATATATATAGTAAGAATCATTTGTTCCTTTTTTACTCCATGAAGGGCAACTGCAAATACCTTCAGAGAAGAGAGTATGTCTTCATTCTCTGATGGACATTAGAAAGCACCTGAGGAATGTGGGGATCACAAAATGTTTGCCTCAGTTGTGTCTCCCCACTCTGAAGCAAAGACACATTAAGTCCCACCTGAGAACACCCTACTTGGTATGATTCGTGACTTTCTTAGTTGTGTTTCACACTTTGGTGTGTTACAATCTGGATGCTAGCCATACGCCTTGCAAACAAAGATTATCCTGCAAGAAATCTTATTGCTGCTCCTAGTAGAAATTAATGAAAAAGGTCAACCTCTTGGGTAATATTTTTTTCCTCCAGAAAAACCTAAATCATGTTTTTGGTTTAGATGATATTTTTGTTCCACTGTGACTGTCTTCAAATTAAACGAATATATTTTGTCTGTCTCCTGAGATTCAAAAATAAATGTATTTGGAATATCAAGGCTTAAAAACCTTCACAATGCTTACAGCTTTTACATTGCAGGCTTTTCTGCTAATGATGGTCTTGCTAGCCATCTTGCATCCTTTGAAAATCCATATTGTTTAGATTTAGAAATGGAGACTCAGTAATCAAAAGGAATAAAACATACAAATCAAATGAGGCATAATAATTGGGAGAGTAACACATGTAACTTAACCAAACTAAATATATATGTTGATCTGACTGCTCTCTTCCTGTAGGCAAATTGCACAAAAGTATTACCTCTCCAATGATCTGATATATTTTGCATGGGTTTTGAGGTATAGTTCTTGAAAATCAATGTCATTTTTTTTTATAAGAGGTATTACTTCTCCCTCAGTGTTATGCTTCGTTACTTAATATGGGCCAGACATTGTGCAATGTCAGAGATATTTTATCTCTATTGCTCTCAGAGAACATTATGTAGTAGATGAAATTGCAAAAATGTAACTCAGACCTGATTTACTCAAAGTGACACACACGTAAGTGAAAAACTGAATCAGATTCTGAATAAGTCCAACAGTTTCTCTCCACATTATGTTTTTACCATTCCGAAGTCCATGAAAGTAATTTGTTGGTCAGGGTAGGAGGAATGCAGAGATCATAAACAATTCTTTCTTGAGTATCAGTCACAATATTGAGAAATCAAGATGTAATTTTCCTCTGTTTTGACTTTAAACCTAAAAAATTAGCTTACACTTCACTTGGAAATTGGAGAGTAAAAATAAGAGTAATTCTATGCCAGAAAAGTATCACAAAGCTACTTGATTAGATCATAAGTACTGATAATTATAGTTTATTCAATGTTAGAAAATATAGTTTCAAGTGCCTATAATATGCTTACCCTGACAAACCCAGCATAAAACTCCCCCCTTGACTTTTCACTTCTTTACCTACATAAGCAGACATGAATAAAATTTCTGTCACAATTTTTTTAATGCCATTTCAACTTTCCCATATAAATTAGCTGACCATAGCTTTTCCTCTGACGTAGCTTCCAGACTTCTGTTTATCTACACTCACAGATCTAGTCTTCTAATAAATTGTTTTTCCTATTTAGACTGCTTCTCCTTTTAGGCTGACAGGCTTCCGTTTCTAAAACTAGCAGACTCTTAGCAAGTGGACACTATCCCTACCCCATCTCAGTATTAACTGTAAGCACTTACATAGTCAATAATGTATCTCTTCCATCATTTAGAAAATTTATTTCATTTAATCCTCACAACAACCTCATGAGGTAGTTACTGTTATTATACCCATTTTATAGGGAAGAAAATTGAAATAGATATTCTTATTAATTTACTCATGATCATACAGTCAGTATCTGAACCAAGATTTAAACCAAGGCATTTGGCTGCAGAGTCCATATTCTTATCTACCATACTGTTCCAACCTGCCTTAAATTCCAAGTCTGATTCATTGATAACTCTGGTAATATCTCTGTTTCTATCTACAACTTTTTTCCCACAAATTATTTTTAATACATGCTACTGAAGTCTGGTCTCATGTTATAAATGATTATTTAGTGCTTCTTGAATTGAACCAAAGCAGAACCTAGAGATGAACATCCTGTTGAAAACCTTTGTGTGTACTCTTTCTGGGTGGTTCTTGATCCTCTAAATCTATTTACAAATGTTCACTGGCCCTGCTACTGAATGTAATAGAAAACTCTAACTCCAACAATGTGTGAGATTTTAGGAATTGTAAAGCAGTGAGAGCCCTTGCCAGGCATATTTATTTTGTTTTGTTTTGCTTTTAAGCATGCATTGGTGGTATGCTTTCAAAAATCTATTGTCATTTTATTTTCTCTTCTTCCTCCTCCCCTCTATATCTTCTATTTTCTGTCTCTCTCTTTTTTTTCTTTCTTTTTTTCTTGCTTTCTTTTGTCTTTCCTTCATTTTCCTTCCTGAACAAATCACGCTACAAGCCACTAGGTGGACTGAGTGAAGTAGGTATGCATGTGGGAGGCGGAGGACCCCCACAGCCAAGCAGAATGGAGGCAGCAGTGTTAGTGCTCCAGCCTGCAGCACTGGAGCTTGAGCAGGGTAAAGAGAGTGCTAGCTTAGGTAGGCAGACAGAGCAAAGTGAGGAGGGCCACACTTTTGGTGGCAATGGCAGCAGCCTAGTGCAGGTTTTTGGTGCCCAGGTAGAGTGAGAAGAGCACCCATGTGAGAGGGAAGTGGCAGTGGGGACTCGGGATGGGTGCTGGATTCAGAGTGGGGTGAAAAGGGAATCTCCATAGTGGGTAGGAGGTTGGGTAGAACACAGGTAGCAAAAGATGACGGGTTACACATAGGAGAGTAGAGCTCAAACAGGTAAAAAAGTTGAGGCTAATGGACTCTTAACTTCTCACTGTCAAAGAAAGAAAGTTGCAGATATGGAAAGGTATAAAACTAGAATTAACCTGTGATGTTGGATTTGGTATGCTGATGTCAGTGTAAAAGAAGAATTATCTATCTATCTATGTGTCTATAATATAGAAGTAAATGTGTATATATACACAGTTGTATAAATGTGTATATATACACGTTTATATAAACGTGTATATATACATATTTGTATAAACGTGTATATATACACGTTTATATAAACGTGTATATATACATATTTGTATAAATGTGTATATAGTTGTAAATGTGTGTAAATATATGCGCACATAAACATGTCTAAATGCATGTGTATAATAATGTGTGTATACACACACACACATGCCACTATATTCACTAGCTTTGTTTTCTGGGCCTAGGAGCATCAGCACACCTAGCACCCAGACCTTAGACTCCAAATGCCACTCTAAAAAGAACCACAGTTTCAGGGAGTAATGCTTATTTGTGGGGGGTGAAGCAAAGAAACTGTAAGATGAGCCAGGAGTATATTTTTGTGTTAGAAAGCAAGGAAACACCTAAACAATGATGGCAACATATCTAAAGGATACAGAATCTAACTTAAAGAAACTACCAGCAGCCAAATCTTAAATGATTTGAGCATCAAAATAAATAATGATAACAACAGATTATAAATCACTGAGTATAATAGTAATCTATGACCCCATATTGACATAAATAAATCAATAAATACATTTTCAAAAACACAATAAAACATTTACAAACTGTTACAGAGTAGTCTTTTAAGTTACTTATTATTTAAAAGGTGGAAGAAAAGAATAACTTCACAGTGGAGAAATGTACAGATCCTACCTGACCCAAGTGATCAAAATTAACTTTATCAATAATAGAAAAAAATGAAATTGTCTGCTAAATGGATAAAATTAGAACATATCAATTTTGGAATCTCTTCATGAAGATAGAAGAAAGTCAAATTGAGGCATTCTAACAAAGAATTTTCCTGTAATTTTCAAAACTATTAAGGTAATGAAAGTCATGGAAAAATTGAAGAAGACTAAAAATATCTGGCAACTAAATGCAATACATGATCTTGGGTTGGTTGTTTTTTCCTTAAAGAACATTATTAGAACAATTGACTAGTGGCTGCTGAGTAGATGGTGATAATGTGTCAACGTTAATTTTCTCATTTTGATGGCTATATAGAAGGATGTCCATGTTTACAGAAAACACATCCTTAGGTATTTAAGGATGGTGGAACATCATGTTAGCAACTTAGGCTCAAATGGTTGAGAAAAAATATTATTTGTACTTTTCATGCACAATTTCTCTATGTTTGTGACAGTTTTGAAATAAAAATTCAAATAATTTTCACATGTGCTTAATGAAATAGAAATTTACGGGCTTTTTATATTCATGCTATGACACTTAATGACCCTGAGATATGTGTTACAGGATTTGATAGTCACATTCCTTAAATAAATACACATCAGATATTAATTTTAGGCAAATGATAACTCCTTCATGCAGCCTTGACTACATTGGTTGTGCAAATTCATTTTCCACTTTGGTGAGAAAGTGGTGAGATATTCAGTTAAGTCCATCAGTGCAGACAATCAATCTGAAAATACTAGTTTACAGAATCACTTTGGGTGCAAAACTGTCAAGGACGTCTAATTAATTACATTTCCACTTCTGTGGGCTGTGTCAACTGGAGGAAACTGATGTACCAACATTTGTTCGGTTTTCACCTATGGACTTTGCATGGAAGAGCTCTTGACTAATCAATAAATGAACACTTGTTTTTAAAAGTAAGCAGGAGAAATTATGATAAGCACATTGTTTTTTACCTGCAACAATGTCTGTATTGTACATAGACTTCCTTCATTACTTGGTTCCTTGGTTCCTTCTCTCCTTCCTTCATTCTTTCCTTACTTCCTGCCTGCCCGCCTGTCTTCTTACTAAATCAAGACCATAAAGTAAAGGATTAGCATAAAGCCATAATAAATTAAGAGTTTTGATTTATAATATATTTATTATTTTCCTTCACATACCATTATATTTTCTCTTCCCCTAGCCGCCTACACACTATACATACATAACTTGTGGTTTTCACAGTTCACTATGAGGGTTTACCTCCAGCTGATATGAAGCTGCACACATTCTCAGTGGGTTATAATGGAAATGTTCCAAAGAAACACTGTTAAAGTAATTATTAAAAATTTTTGAACCAAAAAGCCTTGCTAAAATTATGAAAGTAAGAATATGTTCACTTTTGACTCTGTTTCTAAACCTTGAATGAAATAGTGAAATCCTCAAGCTCTTCTAGTTCAAATATGCATGTATTTTTTGGCTGTTTTGTTCTCGCATAAATATTTGTAAATATCTGTTCCCAGATATTTTCTTTATAGATTGTACAACTCTTTCTTCTATGAACCCAATCAATTTTTATAGGTTTAAGTGCTTGTTTCTATACATCTAATAATTAGTATAAATTAATAGTGTGCTATGACAGTAAAAAATTACTATAAAACTTCGAAAGAGTTTTTAAAAAATAAACACAAAACCTGATACCTAATTGGAGAGATGTCTACACAAAAATTTACGAACAATACAAGATCTTATGGGTAAATATCAAGTGTTTAGGTGTTCAGAGATTATTAATACAGCTGTGGATAAATTTTTATAGACACAAGATTGGATTAGAGCCTAGAATTTGGTCATGTGGTGATTTTTAAAAAGGAAAAAAGTGGGTACTTTGAGAGCACATAATAGTGATAGTACAGACAATAAGGTAAAAATGATTCTAAATTGTTTGGGAGCAGTCACAGATTCCATTGCAAGGATAATAAAGAGCTATGGCCATGCTTTCCAGGGTAAAATATTATATATATATAATTTTAGAGAGTCCATGAAGCCCCACATGTTCACCTATTGTCTTTCTCTTTACCTTAATGCTCTAGGTGGTAGGCACTAGAATTTGCAGACAAACTCAATCAGAACAACTAATTTATTGCAAATATTAGAAGCTGAGGCGAAAAGGTAAAAAGTGAAAGAGTGGTAGAGCTTGAATGTTAGGTGGCTAATACAGAGTTCCAAACTGATAAACCCTCTAAAGAAGTACTCAGTATTCAACCAGCCTAGTTAGGGGATCAGCAAAATAAAAAAGTGTAAACTCAAAATATAAAGACTAGTTCTTAATGTGCCCTTTGGCAAATCAAATGAATCCATTATTATTTTTTCTTTTTTCCCTCCCTCCTTCCTTGCCTTCCCTCTTTCCTTCCCTCCCCCCCTTCCCTCCTTCCTTCCTTGCCCTCCTCCTCTTCTTTTCTTTTCTCTTTCTTTTCTTTTCTTTCTTTCTCTTTCTTTTTTCTTTCTTTCTCTTTCTTCTTTCTCTTTCTTTCTGTCTCTCTCCTTCCTTCCTTCCCCTCCTCTTCCTCCTCATCTCTTCTTTTCTTTTCTCTTGTTCTCTCTTTTTCTCCCTTTCTTTCTCTCTCTCTCTCTTTCTTTCCCTCCCTTCCTCCCTCGCTGCCTCCCTCCTGTCATTTGTTCTTTCTCTTTCTTTCTTTCTCTCTTTTTTCTTTCTTTCTCTTTATGTCTCTGTCTCTCTCTCCCTCCCTCCCTCCCTTCCTTCCTTCCCTCCTTCCTTCCTTTTCTCTTTTCTTTTGCTAGTTTGTATTGCTTCATTTAGCTATAGCCATAGATCCTTTCCTATTCACAGACATCCAGAAATATAATATACGTATTAGAATAACAGCACCATTTACCTCATTAAAACCCAAATGGGACTAAGGGGTCTGTGCACTTTTAATAAGCAATGATTAACATTGATTTTAGCATAAAACACATTACCATAGTTTCTTCCTTAACCATAGTCTTTATTTCCAAGGCACTGCAGTAGTTCAGATCATACTAAAGATAAATTATTTCGTTCATCAGTTCACATACTAAGTCAGGCATACTGCTGATTTAGTATAGAGGTGAATGGAATAGGGTCTTTACCCTTAGGAATTTATGGTCTAGTTAAGGAAGCAGGTAAATTTAGGAATTTATGATCTAGTTAAGGAACTAGGTAAATAAGCCAGTCAAAGAGTGAGACCTGCTCTCCTATGCCCCCCTCCTAGGGATCAATTAGCCTGCCCAGATAACTTATAATATCTCTAGTCCCAGCAAATAAAGGAACAACCAGAGTTACTATGGGTGTGAGGCAATGATCTTTTTACGGCAGAGGTAACCCTCTGCTGAAGCACAATATCTGCATGACAAAACCACATTTTGTTCCGGGGATGGGTGGTAGGAAGTTAAGGGGCAGTTAATTTATTGGGTCCAAGGAGTTTTATGATGACCTAAAAATACTGTACCACTAGTGAACACCATTTGTCTGGTCATGTTCCAAATATCTGATTTATGTCAACAGAGATTTCTAAATGTTATAATCTGTAAATGAATACAAAGGTCAAGTTCAGCAACATATTCTAGAATTGTCAGGTACCAATAAGATAGAGCAGAAAAGTTCTATTGGGAAATGTGCTAAAAATTAAGTGCAGTGTTAGAAGAAATAGCATGTCATTTTGAATTAAGGCAAATAATTTCAGCAGTGGAGAATAGATTGATTCTAACATTTGATTTTGCACAGTCTTAAATCTGATATAACTTTAGGTTAGCTGTAATTTAAAAAGAAAACAATACTTACTTGGCAGGAGGAAGGATATCTGACATTCTTTTAAAATTACTTTAACTGTGGTTATCTTCTATAATGGGATTTTGTTACATCATATCCATGTAATTGAGTCTCACACAAACACTTGGTAAATACATTTGTCTACCGACAATGCAAAATTTCTGGTAGAAAAATGTCTTGAATACTTTGAGAGTCAAATCCCTTGAAAAGCTCAGAAGAACAAGATCACCATGCACATTTTATTAATGTGTGCAGTGTGTGAACTAACCAACAAATACCCTCTGAAAGCTAAATGAAATAGGGCATGAAAGAGGTAATAGGGTAAAAAATAAGCAGAAGCTATCACTTGCTAGTGTAGTTGATTCTAATTTTATTTTTATTTTATTGATGCTGTGTTTTGTTTTTTACTTGACACAATATGCAATAGCATTGGAATTGTCAACATTTTGCATAATGGACTAATGCAAAAATCACTGATTTTTTTAAGGGTTTTTTGTGTCTCTATTTCCTTCAGTTCTGCACTGATCTTAGTTTTTTCTTGCCTTCTGCTAGCTTTTGAATGTGTTTGCTCTTGCTTCTCTAGTTCTTTTAATTGTGACGGTAGGGTGTCAATTTTAGATCTTTCCTGCTTTCTCTTGTGGGCATTTAGTGCTATAAATTTCCCTCTACACACGGCTTTGAATGTGTCCCACAGATTCTGGTATGTTGTGTCTTTGTTCTCGTTGGTTTCAAAGAAAATCTTTATTTCTGCCTTCATTTCGTTATGTACCCAGTAGTCATTCAGGACTAGGTTGTTCAGTTTCCATGTAGTTGAGCAGTTTTGAGTGAGTTTCTTAATCCTGAGTTCTAGTCTGATTGCACTGTGGTCTGAGAGACAGTTTGTTATAATTTCTGTTCTTTTACATTTGCTGAGGAGTGCTTTACTTCCAACTATGTGGTCAGTTTTGGAATAGGTGTGGTGTGGTGCTGAAAAGAATGTATATTCTGTTGATTTGGGGTGGAGAGTCCTGTAGATGTCTATTAGGTCTGCTTCGTGCAGAGCTGAGTTCAATTCCTGGATATCCTTGTTAACTTTCTGTCTCGTTGATTTGTCTAATGTTTACAGTGGGGTGTTAAAGTCTCCCATTATTATTGTGTGGGAGTCTAAATCTCTTTGTAGGTCTCTAAGGACTTGCTTTATGAACCTGGGTGCTCCTGTATTGGGTGCATATATATTTAGGATAGTTAGCTCTTCTTGTTGAATTGATCCCTTTACCATTATGTAATGGCCTTCTTTGTCTCTTTTGATTTTGGTGGTGTAAAGTCTGTTTTATCAGAGACTAGGATTGCAGCCCCTGCCTTTTTTTACTTTCCATTTGCGTGGTAGATCTTCCTGCATCCCCTTATTTTGAGCCTATGTGCATCTCTGCACATGAGATGGGTTTCCTGAATACAGCACACTGATGGGTCTTGACTCTCTATCCAATTTGCCAGTCTGTGTCTTTTAATTGGAGCATTTAGCCCATTTACGTTTAAGGTTAATATTGTTATGTGTGAATTTGATCCTGTCATTATGATGTTAGCTGGTTATTTTGCTCATTAATTGATACAGTTTCTTCTTAGCATCAATGGTCTTTACAATTTGGCATGTTTTTGCAGTGGCTGGTACCGGTTGTTCCTTTCCATGTTTAGTGCTTCCTTCAGGAGCTCTTGTAGGGCACGCCTGGTGGTGACAAAATCTCTCAGCATTTGCTTGTCTGTAAAGGATTTTATTTCTCCTTCACTTGTGAAGCTTAGTTTGGCTGGATATGAAATTCTGGGTTGAAAATTCTTTTCTTTAAGAATGTTGAATATTGGCCTCCACTCTCTTCTGGCTTGTAGAGTTTCTGCCGAGAGATCTGCTGTTAGTCTGATGGGCTTCCCTTTGTGGGTAACCCGACCTTTCTCTCTGGCTGCCCTTAACATTTTTTCCTTCATTTCAACTTTGGTGAATCTGACAATGTTGTGTCTTGGAGTTGCTGTTCTCGAGGAGTATCTTTGTGGCATTCTCTGTATTTCCTGAATTTGAATGTTGGCCTGCCTTGCTCGATTGGGGAAGTTCTCTTGGATAATATCCTGAAGAGTGTTTTCCAACTTGGTTCCATTCTCCCCATCAATTTCAGGTACACCAATCAGACGTAGATTTGCTCTTTTCACATAGTCCCATATTTCTTGGAGGCTTTGTTCATTTCTTTTTATTCTTTTTTCTCTAAACTTCTCTTCTTGCTTCATTTCATTCATTTCATCTTCCATCACTGATACCCTTTCTTCCAGTTGATGGAATCAGCTACTGAGGCTTGTGCATTCATGACGTAGTTCTCGTGCCATGGTTTTCAGCTCCATCAGGTCCTTTAAGGACTTCTCTGCATTGGTTATTCTAGTTAGCCATTTGTGTAATTTTTTTTGAAGGTTTTTAACTTCTTTGCCGTGGGTTTGCACTTCCTTTAGCTCAGAGTAGTTTGATCGTCTGAAGCCTTCGTCTCTCAACTCGTCAAAGTCATTCTCTGTCCAGCTTTGTTCCATTGCTGGTGAGGATCTGCATTCCTTTGGAGGAGGAGAGGCGGTCTGATTTTTAGAGTTTCCAGTTTTTCTGCTCTGTTTTTTCCCCATCTTTGTGGTTTTATCTACCTTTGGTCTTTGATGATGGTGACGTACAGATGGGGTTTTGGTGTGGGTGTCCTTTCTGTTTGTTAGTTTTCCTTCTAACAGTCAGGACCCTCAGCTGCAGGTCTGTTGGAGCTGGCTGGAGGTCCACTCCCGACCCTGTTTGCCTGGGTATCAGCAGTGGAGGCTGCAGAACAGCAGATATTGCTGAATAGCAAATGTTGCTGCCTGGTTGTTCCTCTGGAAGTTTTGTCTCAGAGGAGTACCCAGCCGTGTGAAGTGTCAGACTGCCCCTACTGGGGGGTGCCTCCCAGTTAGGCTACTCAGGGGTCAGGGACCCACTTGAGGAGGCAGTCTGTCTGTTCTCAGATCTCAAGCTGCGTGCTGGGAGAACCACTACTGTTTTCAAAGTTGTCAGACGGGACATTTAAGTCTGCAGAGGTTTCTGCTGCCTTTTGTTTGGCTATGCCTTGCCCCCAGAGGTGGAGTCTACAGAGGCAGGCAGGTCTCCTTGAGCTACGGTGGGCTCCACCCAGTTCGAGCTTCCTGGCTGCTTTGTTTACCTACTCAAGCCTCAGCAATGGTGGGCACCCCTCCCCCAGCCTCCCTGCTGCTTTGCAGTTTGATCTCAGACTGCTGTGCTAGCAATTAGCTAGGCTCCGTGGGTGTAGGACCCTCTGAGCCAGGTGCAGGATATAATCTCCTGGTGTGCCGTTTGCTAAGGCTGTTGGAAAAGTGCAGTATTAGGGTGGGAGTGACCCGATTTTCCAGGTGCCGTCTGTCACCCCTTTCTTTGACTAGGAAAGAGAATTCCCTGACCCCTTGCGCTTCCTGGGTGAGGCGATGCCTCGCCCTGCTTCGGCTCATCCTCAGTGCGCTACACCCACTGTCCTGTACCCACTGTCTGACACTCTCCAGTGAGATGAACCTGGTACCTCAGTTGGAAATGCAGAAATCACCCATCTTCTGTGTTGCTCATTCTGGGAGCTGTAGACTGGAGATGTTCCTATTCGGCCATCTTGGCTCCACCTTAAATTTCTTCATTTAACAAATTAGGTTGATACAGTGCTCAACTTTGAAACTTATAAACTTGGAATAATCATACTTGCACATTTTGTATAATATTTTATCTGCAAACTATATTACATATAGATGTTGTGAAAAAGGTATTATATTTTAATAACTGCAAATGTGAATGTAATAATGGAAATTTTATTCTTTTGTAATATATTATTTTTTGGTACTCTTTGAGATCTGTTATATTGATTTACCTAATTTTCTTTTGAGTGCTATTTAATTCACTGATTAGTCCCTCTATTAAATTTTGATAATGCTCTTTTCTATACACTTACAACATTTTATTTTATTGTTTTGCAAATCTGCTTGGTTTATTAGTTTCTAAGTGTTACTATTAAGACAATCACATTTTAATACTGTAAAGCATTTGTTGTAATATTTTTCTAGCTGAGCATTTGAAAGGTGTAAGCTTCATATTCTATTGATGTCTTTCTGCTGCCTATCATTCAACACTGGCCTGTTTTCCCCTGTGATTCCTAATCATGGCTTGACCTACAGTCATTTGTGGCCAGTGTTGAAGATTCAGCCCTTTAGATAATTTTTTTTTTTTTTTTTTTTTTTTGCTTCTTTAATATATCTCAAGAGGTTTACCAACGCACCACTAACCTTTAGGCTGTTTCTCTTGATGGGCATCCCTGGACCGTTTTGTATATATTTGGAGTTCAAAGCCTGAAGAGGGAAAGCCCTTGTGTACAAATTCTCAAAGAAAGCTTTTCTTTTTTTTTTTTTTAGGCAATGTCCCTAACAGTGACATCATCACCCAGACGGACTCACAAGTTTACTTTCTTTTACAGATTATTTTTTTTACCCTATAAATTTTTCCTGCTATCTTGAAAAATGAGCTATTATTGTAAATGTATAAATTCTATATTTCTTTCTAGGTGTTTTACAGAGTTTCTAGGTTATTTAGTTTATCAAAGTGAGAGCAACACAATCAATACTTTACTTCTGACCTAATTTTCATTGGCCTTTTAAAATGTTTGTTTATTTATCTATTACTTTCTATTAAGTCATGTGCTATTCACCAGTCGTATACCTCAGTGGACTTTTGGAAAGTGATGAAATGGAAAACATCCTCCTCGACATTTTTCTTTACTTGAACATTACACAATTTTGTTATTTAACAAACTGCTAAGATTGAATTAATCTGATCATTTCTATGTGGAAGATAAATTTTAATGAGTGACAGGATTTTCTGGACAGAATCACCCAGAACAATTACACTGGAAAGACAGTCTTGAGAGAGAGAGGGCTAAGGCACCAGAGAACACAAACCTTTCCACAGATGGTTGCGTATGAGTCAATGAAACAGAAGTACAACACTGAGAAGAGAGGGCACTTCAGGGGCAAATGAGAGAGTGCCAAATAACTCTTTTCTAGGAGTTTCAAGAATTGTATTGTCAGTCTCCTTCTGTGAAGCCAAGATTTGACATGAAATCGTTTAAGTGCCCTTATGCACCAAACACTGTATGGGATTGTAGGTGGCTGAGTATGAGTAGAATCAGGCTTATGGCTTCATAACTGGTGGAAAGTCTGTGCAGCTGGCAATCCAGAGGAAAATCCACAGGACTCAGCAGCCTCTACAGCTGCAGAGATATTTGAGACTGAATCAGGCCTTAAGTAATTATCTTGGCATTCCATGGTAATCATTCAATAGCTCATAAACAGTCAACATTGACTATGTAATTAAAAAATAGTTACATAATTCTGCCCCTAATTTAGTCACTAAAATTAGTATCTCATGCAATTGTTTAGGTCATTTTAGACAATTTTTTGAGATACATTAGCTTATGCTTACTTTTCAAGTGATAATTTTCATTTATAATATTTTAATTGACATTTTAATATCATTAGGAAGCCAAGATGCCTATGATATTCTGACTTGAACTTCTTTCCCACTCTGTAACACTGCTACATTTTATCCTTAAAGAAAAAGTCCCGGGGTTGAGTGACTTGCACAAAGTCATATGAATAGTTAAACTACACTTTCTTGTGCAGCTCTTATAATTTGAGGTCTATACTCCTATTTAAGGAGGAGCTAAGTAATCAGCAAACTAGAAGAAGGTAATTTAACAATTCTTCAGTAAATAACACTAATCTGCTTTCTATAAAAGGGAGTTAGGTGATATGTAGACTGAATGTATAAAAATGAACAATACACACAGAATAATCTGATTTTATATGCATGTTATATATATATATATACACACACACGCATACACTATGTGTATATAGTAATCGTGTATCAGCCTTTATACATGCCATATTCGTTAGATTCTAAATTTATAAAGATAAATAGAATATCATTTTCCTAGAAAGAATATTTTTATTATGTTTTTGGCCAATTTAAATTACATTTTTTAAACATTATCTTTCTTACCTCTGGGGAATGTGATGAGTGGGCTTCTTTTGTTTCAGAAAACCCTATTTCAAAAAATTATTTAATTTAAATAAATACCCTCTATCAGAAGACTGGCACATTTCAAAATAAAATTTTATAAGAGGCACTGCCGTCTACATGAAATAAAACCATTTAAGCCCATTCACTTGCCATTTATATCTAAGTAAACAAATCCTATATACTGTGATCTAGCCAATTGGATCTAGCAAGCCACAGAACATTACCAGACCACTCATGCTCACCGAAGCTGCTTTTCCTACATAATTGGTGAATATATAAAAACAAACTAAATACCATTATACAAACAAAAACTACCAAATGACAAGGGGGAAGAACCTTTGATTTTTAGGATTCTTCGTATCACTTTTCTTGCTAAGGTAACAGAAGTATTTCAATTCTCTATGAATGAAATTAGCTTACATTTTAGCTTTTAACACCATTTACGTTTACAATGAATTATGATAACTAGCTCAGCTCAGTAACATGGGAAGTTTTTTCACGTCTTAGTGAATTTTGCTAGAGCTAAAATAAAATGAATGTCTTAGAACCTTGCTACACAGCATGTACTCCATAGAGCAGCATCATGGACATCACCTGGACATGGACATCACATCAGCTTGTTAGAACATTTCAGGCTCCAACCCAGATTTAGAGATTATAAATATGCATTCTTTCAAGATCCCCAGGTGATTTACATTTTAGAAGACATGGATAAATACACCCTCTGCTGGTCAGCTTTGTATCAGTTTACTCTACTGTGACTCTGACTGGTCTCCCCTTCCACTCCTGAAGCCCCTAGTCATCACATTAATCTCCCACTTACAAAAATTGCATGCAGCCATTCACTTGTTATAATTCTCTTCTCTTTCACTTGATACTTTGGTTCACTGATCAGTTACCCTATCCACCCTTGGGGTTCATAGCCACTGTCTGCTTCTCGTCTCATGTCTTGCTGGCTTCCCTTGGCTTTCTTTCCTTATCCCCTGGCTCTCCATGCTTTCACCACCCCTACCACACACAAGCATGCTTAATTTGATTTGCCTTCTTGGCCCATAAAATATACTAATTTTTTATTATGTTTAAACCTATTGAAATATTTATGCCATAATCAGAAAAAGAAAAACACATATAATTGATATTTTTAAACCAGAGTTTATTTTCATACTTAACAATTTTAGGTATACCTAACGATTTTTAGAAAAATAGGATTCTTTGCCATAACAAGGATTTTAAATTGCCACTTTAGAAGGACAGATACAATCATAATCTTCTTAAAGACCAAATGAGAAATAATGTTTAAAACAATGAACCATCTCAGATTATAACGGTGATACTGTTAGATATAAATTCATAAATTCAATGTTGTTGAGGCAGGCATGCTTCATGCTTCTGTCTCTGATGTTTTCAAAACCTGACAGAGCAGTGCTATGTGGAGTGAAGCAAAAGCACAAATTGAGTCAAAGCTATTTATCAATGTCTGTTAATAATCTACACATCAAACTGCAAATCATTCCATTAAAAAAAAGTGGTAGGGAGAAAAGAGTTTTTTATTCATTTGTAAATTGTTTTCTTTCAATGTTCAGAATTTTTTTTTTAAATTTTGACTTAATGGAGACCACTATCTGTACAAAATTTCTGAAACTCGCTTTTACTTCAGATATAGTAAAATACAATGACAAAACAAGGTACCTATATATCAGTAGCTTTCTGAAGCCTGTTTATCTCTCTCATGAATCTATGCTAATTTCTTCTATTGATGTCTCCAATTTTTTCTAGTTTATTTTGTCTAAATCCTGTCAATGAATTATGCATAAAGCTAATCAATGAAGAACATAAAGTCATAGATAAAGTTCTTGTCTCTGTTGATGAAACCATGAACTGGCATTCAGGAGACTGGAGATCTAAATCAGACTTTGAGCTCCCACAAGTATGATATCATTTCTGATGATTAATTTCCTAATTGCTAAATTAAGAGAGTTGATAAACACATTCTGTATGGTCTCTTTGTGTGAAAACTTGTATTTTCCTAACACAGCTAAGATGTTGAATCCTCTTTCAATCTGGAAGAAAGCATTTTCAAAGCACTTTTTTGTGTCTCTGAAAACTCTTCCTTTTAGGCAATGTTTTCCTGCTGTACTTAGTTTATTGCTCTGGATTTCTGGGCATAGAGCCTATTTTGGTTTTATTTTTGTTTATCTTCATCATCTTTATTTCTATTTTTGAAGATGATGCTTCATAAATATATTATTACACACTGTAAAATTGGATAATAATACTATAAAATTGATTTTCTGTATTTGCACTTTCCTTGAGAACCTCGGGTGTGTACTGCAATTAGTCTAATTATTCAACTTGAAGCTGTCACCTCCTCCTTTGCCTGAAGCAAAGCAGCAGGAAGTACAAATCACACTCAACAGCCTGACACCAGGAGAAGGAAACAAATACCTCCGCATGGAATTTGCACATCTGACAGTGTGTCAGCTGAAATGGAAAAAAGATAGATTTTATTTTGGAGAATCCTGGAACTCCTTCAATAATTAGGACCGCAAAACATCTGCATCTGGTTTACCAGTGGAAAGAGGCTGCAGAGACACATCCTGATTGGCTCCTCTTGATGGCTATGGACACTTCATACAGTGCCTGGCATATATTAGATGCTCAATAATTGTTTGCTGAGCAAATTAATCAATTTTTGAATAAATGTGTATTGCTAAAAATCAATAAGGCTTTCAAGTAAAAGGTTTGAGAGACATCATCCCCATTCTTACAACAACAAATAAAAGCTTGGCAAAGTAAAAATGAATGTGTTTTATTGGCTTCATCAGTGAACTGAGGTTGCAAGAAAAAGAGGCATCTTGACATCTGAAAAGACGGGAGGATCTAGAGTCATAGCTGAGATGTGCTTCCCTGGAACAGAAACCACTGGTGTCACAAACTTGTAAGAGCACTTGAACAGTATTTTTGGTGATTTGCCAGAGGCTGAGTGTGGATTAGTGTAAGAGTGAGAAAACCCTAAGAGCTGTGGTTTTAGTGGAACCCCATACTTTTGTGGGTTTTACCTCCAGGAACTCTACCAGGTTCTTATTGTGAATATTTGAGAAAGATCCCCTGGATGCTCTGTCAGTGGAGGAGAAAAGTACCCCTTGTGAAATATGCCCAGGGCTTTTTCTATAGCAAAAGAATGCTCTCCAGCGGGGAAAGACCTTACCAGAGCCTTGTCCCAGAGGTATGGGGGAAAGGCATTCTTGCTCCAGTTGCCCATAGCTTTCCTGTCTTATCTAATGGGCTAGAGGTGGAGAAGCTATACAAGAAGAAATAGTTGTGAAAGTCACAGGCCCACTAAAAGATGAAGATTGAAATGAGAGATTATTGAACAATTCCTCTTCCCAACACCTTACCACCACACCAACAGGACTGCAGTGTCCTAATACTGCATTCTTGCTGAGACAGCAGCATGATACAGACTCTCTTTAAGGAGGAGTACATCAGGAAACCCAAAGTCAGGGGACAGACAAAAACAAGGACACTGGAGGAATTTGAAGCTTCTGACACCTATAGCTACAGCAAACATTAAGCAAAGACCAATTCCTAGCCAGATTAACTCACATCCTCACACAAGAGACCTGTTCACCTCAGTTCTTATTATCTGATAAATTATGTCTGGCTTTCAACAAAAAATTGCCAGGCATGCCATAAGGCAAGGAAAAAACACAGTCTGAAGAGACAAAGCAAGCATCACCACCAGACTCAGTTATGACACAGGTGCTGGAATTCTCAGGAGATTTAAAATGACTAATTAGTAACCTAATGAAAAAGAGGACAACATTCAAGAACAGATGGGTAATATAGGCAGAGAGAGGTAAACCTAACACAGAGGTGTTTTTTTTTTTTAAAAAGCTAGAAATCACAAATAATGTAACAGAATGTCTTTTGTTAATGGGCTTATCAGCAGACACAGCTGAAGAAAGAATCAGTGAGCATATGGTAGGTCAATAGAACTTCCCAAACTGTAAAAATGAATAAAAAAGCAGGGCATCCTAGAACTGTAAGAAAATTTGACAGGTGTAACGTATACATAACTGGAATGCTAGAAACAGCAGAAAGAATGGGGCAAAATATGTGAAATGATAATATAAGTCTTGAAGTAAAAATGGCTAATAGATGAGATAATGGCCAAGAACATTTCAGAATTAATGACAGACACTAAGCCACAAATCTAGGAAACTCAGAGTCCACTGAGCAGAAAAAAATACTAAAAACTACACATAAGTATATCATTTGCAAATCACAGAAACCAAAGGCAAAGTGAAAATCTTAACAGAAGCCAGAGAAAGAAGCATCGTGACCTACTGAGGAATAAATAAAAGAAGTAAAATAGACTTCTTACCAGAAACCATGAAAGCAAGAAGAAAGTGGAATAAGATACTTAAAGTATCAAAATGTAAAAAAATAACCACTAACCTAAAGTTTAATATATAGCAAAATTATCTTATAAAAGTGAAAGAAAGACCTTCTTAGAGAAACAAAAAGTTGAAGAACTTCATTGCCAGCTGACTCATGTTAACAAAAGACAAATGAAATCTGCAAAAGCAATAGGAGAACTTTATTTTCTAAAAGAAGTCTGCAGATTGGGCAGATACAGCCTTAAGTGCAAAAGGAAAGTGCACTCTGAGGAGGAGTTCAGGGGTAAAAGATTAGAAAATATTATAAAGGCAAAAACTGTAAGATTGGAGGCAATGAGGTGCAGGGTCTGAATTGGATGACATTTAAGCAAGACATTACATGCTTCGCTTGTGCCTGGCTGGCTTCAGGTAGTCTATGGGTGGTTAGGTGAGGAATTTCTAGCTGCAGTCTATCTTGGTACCAATGACAGGAGCTGATTTGGCTTGATTGCAGAAAGGGAGGTCCTGTGATACCTTTTCAATATTTTATTAGTTTGTTCTCACACTACTATAAAGAAATAACTGACACTGGGTAACTTATAAAGAAACGAGATTTAATTGGCTCACGGTTCTGTAGGTTGTACAGGAAGCATGAGGCTGGCATCTGCTTGGCTTCTGAGGAGGTCTCAGGATATTTACAATTATGGTGGAAGGCCAAGGGGGAGCAGATACATCTTATATGGCAAGAGCAGGAACAGTAGAGCGATGGGGGAGGTGCCACACACTTTTAAACAACTGGATCTCATGAGAACTTACTGTCATAATGACAGTACCAAGGGGAATGGTGCTAAAACATTCATGGGAACTTCACCCCTATGATCCAATCACCTTCCACCAGGCCCCACCTCCAACACTGGGGATTATAATTCGACATGAGATATGGTGGGGAAACAGACCCAAACCATAGCAAATATTTTTTCAAGAATACAGTATGTGATTGCACCTTCACCCAGCCATGGTTGCCTGGTTCTGTTTTAACTTTGAGTACTCAGTTAGCCACGGGGAGTCCATTTTGTCTGTCAGTTGGGGACATAATTTAACACCTGCCCTACCAGAAATGTTGAAAGATTTTCTTGAGGCAGAAAAATGGTGTTGATCATAAGATGTATCTACATTAAAAAATAAGTAAAAGGGAGAATATTTAAAAAGAAGTAAATCAAACCACAAAATATGAAGAAGAAATCAAACCACGGAATAACTATTGTGTGAAAATAACGTGTCTGATGGTTACAAAATAAATTTAACCTAGTAATTACAAAAGCAATAGCAGATTTTGGAATCAGGGTTATTTTCTATAGGATTGAGTGATCATGAATATGTAAAGAGCTTAACACAGTGCCTATACTTGTTTATAATGCAACAGAATTTTGTAGAATTTTCTTTCTTTTTTTTTTTTGGCACTGAACTAAGCCATATCTACTTGGATCTCATTTTTATTATATTATTATACTTTAAGTTCTGGGGTAGTGGTGCAGAATGTGCAAGTTTTTTACACAGGTATACACATGCCATGGTGGTTTGCTGCACCCATCAACGTGTCATCTATATTAGGTATTTCTCCTAATGCTATCCCTCCCTGTGATATTCCCCTCACTGTATCCACGTGTTCTCATTGTTCAACTCCCACTTATGAGTGAGAACATGCGGTGTTTGGTTTTCTGTTCTTATGTTAGTTTGCTGAGAATGATGGTTTCCAGCTTCATCCATGTCCCTGCAAAGGACATGAACTCATCCTTTTTTATGGCTCCATAGTATTCCATGGTGTATATGTGCCACACTTTCTTTATCCAGCCTATCATTGGTGGGCATTTGGGTTGGTTCCAAGTCTTTGCTATTGTGAACAGTGCCACAATAAACATATGTGTGCATGTGTCTTTATAGCAGCATGATTTATAATCCTTTGGGTATATACCCAGTAATGGGATTCCTGGATCAAATGGTATTTCTAGTTCTAGATCCTTGAGGAATCGCCACACTGTCTGCTACAGTGGTTGAACTAATTTACATTCCCACCAACAGTGTAAAAGTGTTCCTATTTCTCCACATCCTCTCCAGCATCTGTTGTTTCCTGACTTTTTAATGATTGCCATTCTAACTGGCGTGAGATGGTATCACATTGTGGTTTTGATTTGCATTTCTCTAATGACTAGTGATTATGAGCTTTTTTTCATATGTTTGTTGGCCACTTAAATGTCTTCTTTTGAGAAGTGTCTTTTCATATCCTTTGCCCAATTTATGATGAGGTTGTTTGTTTTTTTCTTATCAATTTAAGTTCTTTGTAGTTCTGGATATTAGCCCTTTGTCAGATGGATAGACTGCAAAAATTTTCTCCCATTCTGTAGGTTGCCTTTTCACTCTGATAATAGTTTCTTTTGCTGTGCAGAAGCTCTTTAGTTTAATTAGATCCCATTTGTCAATTTTGGCTTTTGTTGCCATTGCTTTTGGTGTTTCAGTCATGAAGTCTTTGCCCATGCCTGTGTCCTGAATGGTATTGCCTAGGTTTTCTTCTAGGGTTTTTATGGTTTTAGGTCTTACATTTAAGTCTTTAAGCCATCTTGAGTTAATTTTTGTATAAGGTGTAAGGAAGGGATCCAGTTTCAGCTTTCTGCATATGGTTAGCCAGTGTTCCCCACATCATTTATTAAATAGGAAATCCTTTCCCCATTGCTTGTTTTTGTCAGATTTGTCAAAGATCAGATGGTTGTAGGTGTGCGGTGTTATTTCTGAGGCCTCTGTTCTGTTCCATTGGTCTATATATCCGTTTTGTTACCAGTACCGTGCTGTTTTGGTTACTGTAGAGCAGTCTGAGGTTGACCTGGGACGCTCAAGCTTGGTGGGAGGAGGGGCCTCCACGATTGCTGAGGCTTGAGTAGGCAGTTTCACCCTCACAGTGTAAACATAGCCCCCAGGAAGTTCAAACTGGGCGGAGCCCACTGCAGCTCAGCAAGGCCACTCAAACTGCCTCTCTAGATTCCTCCTCTCTGGGCAGGGCATCTCTGAAAAAAAGGCAGCAGCCCCAGTTCGGGACTTATAGATAAAACCCCCATCTCCCTGGGACAGAGCACCTGGGGGAAGGGGCGGCTGTGGACACAGCTTCAGCAGCTCTGAAGAGAGCAGTGGTTCTCCCAGCATAGTGTTTGAGCTCTGATAAGGGACAGACTGCCTCCTCAAGTGGGTCCCTGACACTGCTCACCCCGCCCCCCGCCCCACCGTGTATCCTGACTGGGAGACACCTCCCAGTAGGGGCTGACAGACACCTCATACAGGAGAGCTCTGGCTGGCATATGGCTGGTGCCCCTCTGGGACAAAGCTTCCAGAGGAAGGAACAGGCAGCAGTCTTTGCTGTTCTGCACCCTCTGCTGGTGATACCCAGACAAACAGGGTCTGGAGTGGACCTCCAGCAAACTCCAGCAGACCTGCAGCAGAGGAGTCTGACTGTTAGAAGGAAAACTACCAAACAGAAAGGAATAGTGTCAACATCAATTTTCTAATTAAAAAAATCGTCAGTCTTCTTGAATCACACATTGCTCAGGTAAAATAAAGGAGATAAATATAGCAATGGTGCCAGATTTGAATTTTTTAAAAAAGATTTGGAGTAAAACCCAGGAATACTCTTTTTAACAAGAGAAAAACATTGTCCAAGATTTTTAATTGTCTTCAAATATGAACCCTATACATTTAGAAAAGGTATGTCCTCAACTGGTAATTGGCTACATCACATATTTTAAGAAATGGAGAAATGAAGGGGAAATAAAGGAAAAGTTAGCAGATTATATATTATAGGAGTCAACAATATAAGTAAAAAGGGAAAGGGCCTTGCATTACTTAAGCAAAAGTAAAAAGCAGGTAGCTATAATTCATGAGATTTAGTAGGTAATATGAAGAGTTTATTTTATACCCCCAATTGGCAATTTAAAATCTCTATAACTATATAAAGAAAGATAATTGTGTGCATGGGCTAAAGAATCTGAATGAACATAATTTCCTTTTCTGCTCTCAATTATAATACTAAACCTTTAAATGAAACTAAAATATTTAAATTAGCAGAAAAGAAATTTTAAAATGTAGTTTGAGATTCACTTACTCTTTTCCCCAGCCCACTCCTCTAAAAATATTACTTATAAGTAATAAATAAAATTTTACAATATGTTTTCATGGTTTTTGACAGCAACTTTCTCAGGATAGCTTGCCTTTTGACTAATAAAAACATAATCCTATATTCCCATAATCCCTT
The DNA here is from genome assembly GCF_000001405.40 of Homo sapiens. NCBI lineage: Eukaryota > Metazoa > Chordata > Mammalia > Primates > Hominidae > Homo > Homo sapiens. The sequence continues at coordinate 52,408,595 of NC_000002.12, read as the reverse complement.
CCCTAATTGAATACCTACTTTATACAGAATGAATTGTTCAGGCTAAAGAATAATATCACTGACAGAGAGATCCTTATCTTCATGATCCAAGAAAGAAGAATTCTCTGAGGGCTTGTAAGCATGACAGCAGCTAAGAAAGATTACCAAAGCAATTAATAAGAAAGCAAAGCATTATACAGTGGAAATAAAAAGTAAAATATAAAAATAGAGGTCTTTAATAATAGACTATCTGGGAAGGCTTACTGCAAGAGATCAGTTTTGAACCAGACATTAAAAAATTATCACAGCCTTTTTCAAACACTTCTCAAAAATTATTTTAGGAAAAAGAATAGTTCAGTCACATTAATTTCAATCATTTTCTAAGCCTATCAAAAGCAAAGGATGAGATTTGTTCATGTGGGTGTAACATTTTATCTATGTCCATGCTATTAACACTAGCTAGTAACTAACTACAAAGCCAACCTCTAATATTTAAATCCAGATTTTAAAATCGTGTCCTATAAACCAGAGATAGATTTGAGTACTTTTTTGAGTGAAATTTTTATCCATACAACCAACTTTGAATATCTCGGCTGCCTGTATAAAATGAGATTTCAAAAACAAACCTAGGCAATTTTTATGGGAATGCATTAGACCTTAATTCAACTCTGTTTCATTTAAAACAGCAGTATAAAAGCTAGTTGATAAATTTTATCACATTACGCTGGGGGAATTTCAATAATGTAGTAAAATTGACATAAAATTTATCGGAGAAAAGAAACATGCACGTTCATCAGTTATAGGGAGACTACATGCAAGTACTGTTGTATGGTCTTTCACCAGGTAAATTATACGACTTAAGAACAAATATTTTAAATGAAAAATACATATATAGAGAAACAGATGCAAAAATTCAATTCATGGACATAGTAGAAGTACCAAACCTAAGGGTGGCTCTGAAGTATAAAGTATGTTATTTTGAATGGAAAGTTCTAAGAGATTTAACCAGAGATCCAAGAGCATACTGAATTAAGGGTGATAACTGGGATTAGAGTTAGAGGACAAGGAGGCAGGAACTAGTGCCAGAGCCATACAAATAAGATGTTGGTGTTAGTAGGGAGGCAAAGTCTTAAACTGCTAATTCATGTGTCAAACCAATGACGAGAAAATGCCAGCAGTAGATTTCAAGGTGGGTCGGGGTTATGACTCGGGAATCACGGTAAAAGGTTCACTAATGGAGGGCCGCTGTTACATTCTTCTCGCGATGGTTATATGGGGCAGGAGGGAGCCACACAGTTCAAACCATCTCTATGCAGGGGCCGTTTCTCATCATGGCTGCCTATCGTGAGACCAGAGTTTATTGCGATAGCAGTCCTCAGCAGGAAGTCTGTGAATACCGAACAGCGACAGTTATTTCTCCAGATGAAGGAAATATTAAAAATCATTTCTTCTTTTTAGAAGTAACCTTAAAATGAGGATGTTGAAAGAATGCTCAGGCAAATGAGTTATATTTCTTAAAAATCTGTAAAACCTTTTTCCAGCCTTTCTTTCTTTTTGTGGTTCATCCCTTATTCTTGATGATCTTTTTTTTTTTTTTTAATTTTCAAACTTCTCAGGAGTGAAAATATAGATGGCAATGCTGTGAAACAGAAGAAATTGTTCAATTTTTAGGACTTGGACTTGTTAACATGAAAATAGTAACACAACTTGCTTTTGTTGGGTAAAAGTCATGTGATATTCTGTTCATTGGGATATAAATTTACGTTTCTCCCTTATGAAATGGTAGAAATGTTAGTATTAATTTATTTAAGCAGGTATGCCTTGAAAAAATGGTGCTAGGCTACTGCATCAATTTGTATGAAAAGGACAAATAATTGGCCAGTACAGTATATGCTGTTTCTCTTTCCTGTTCCAGACTTACCATAACATGCTGAAATATGAAACAATAAGGAAAAGGGCAGAAGGAAGGGTAGAATATATGACCTGCATACATCATAAAACATATCCTTAAAGTAGCAATTTTGCCTGAGAAGAATATGTTAAAATGCAAGTCAACGACATAGAGTATATTTTCCCCTCTCACTCCCTCCTCAAAGGCTGAGATGCCATCATTCAATTCTCACTGTACATTTCTTAGAACTTTTGAACCTGAGTGATCCCGATTTCTACTCTGGACTTCAGGTTTATGAGTTAGCAGAAAGACAACCCCTCTAGCAACAGTTCCAAAGGATATAATTACAAATATAGCATAAGACCCTCAGCTTTCAAGACTTTTAACATTGTTGTTGTTTTTAGAAAGTAATTGGTTTTGCTTTTGCTTTTTATCCCCCTCCCAATGCTCAATGCAATCTACACTGCCTGGAAACCAGACTTTAAATGAAGCAGATGCTCCAAGTTAAACTCTGAGCTGATAGTAAAGTTGTTTCCTAGCAACACAAAGTTATGAAAACTTCAAGAGTGCCACTTGCTCAGTACAGTTTCTCTCATTTAGTTTCATGCACTCAGTGGGTTATTATAACCTACTGAGTACCAAATCAAAATGAACTTGATCCTACATTAAAAGGAATGAAAAACCACTCCATTGATTTTGAACTAATGACCTTTTCAAACCTCGGGCATACAAAATCAAACTTTATACTATAGTTTAAAAGAGTATTTTTCAAAATGAAATTATAGAATGGTGATAAGCTTAGGCCATAAATCTACCCAAACAGATACAATTTTTTGAGATGGAGTCTCGCTGTCGCCCAGGTTGGAGTGCAGTGGCGCGATCTCGGTTCACTGCAGGCTCTGCCCCCCGGGGTTCACGCCATTCTCCTGCCTCAGCCTCTCGAGTAGCTGGGACTACAGGCGCCGGCCACCTTGCCTGGCTAATTTTTTGTATTTTTAATAGAAGACGGGGTTTCACCGTGTTAGCCAGGATGGTCTCGATCTGCTGACCTCGTGATCCGCCCGCCTCGGCCTCCCAAAGTGTTGGGATTACAGGCGTGAGCCACCGCGCCCGGCCGCAGATACATTGTTTTAAAACACCTAGACTTTCTGAACATCTAGCTAACCTGACCTAGGCAGAGGAAATGGTGTGTAATCAAAATGCCTTATAGCAGTGGTTCTCAAATATTTTGGTCTCAGAACCCCTTTGGTTTCTTAAAAAGTATTAGACTATCATCAAAGTACTGCTATTTATATGAGTTATATATGTCAACATTTCATTAGAATTAAACCTAGAATTTTTTTGTCTTTAGTTGTTTATTTAAAAATAAACACACTATGTCTTAAAATAATTAACATATATTTTAGAAAGAGTTTTATTTTCAAAAATGAAAATAGTTTAGTGAGATGAGTGGCAATGTTTTACAGTTTTACAAGTCTCTTTTAATGTCTGGTTGAATAGAAGACAGCTTGATTCTTAAATTTTTTTTTTCGGCCTTTAATTGGTTGTGATATCACACATCACATAGCCTCTAGAAAATTCTACTGTGTTATCTTGAGAAAATGAGAGAAAAAAGGCAATTTTTCCTCTTCCTCTTTCACTTTCTCTTCTGAAATTAATTTGGACCACATTTTGAGAACTGTTGGCAGTAAGCATGTTTCTTCAGTGTGTAACAGGATTTAAATGATTTCCTTTCTCATAGTCATTAACGTTAGGCAGTATGGTAAAGTGATTTCGTCTCTGACACTTAAAAGTTAGCTTGCCTGAGTTTGATTCTATTATGACAGCTTCTAACTCTATAACCTTGAGTAAGTCACTCTAAGTCTCACTTGTGTCATTTATAAAATGGGGCTAATAGTAACACTAGCCCCACAGTACTATAATAGAACTAGGTAGGAAATAGACAACACAGCAGATTTTTTTCTCGTAAAAGTAACCACCCATGATTATTGACTGTATCTCTGATTTTAAGACTGTTCAAGACTATTGATTAAGACAAAAACAAATATCTCAATAAAACACTCGAATAACCACCACTTCCACTCTACCTCATTCTTAAAAAGAGGAAATAATGTGAACTTGTGATTACCAGAGGCTAATATGCATTTTTGTATTGAGAGTTCAAGTTTGATTTACTTCTTAATATCAAGGAAGAAGTACCTGATATGATGTTTGAATTCATTCGTATTTGCTTCTTTCCTAATAAAATATCTTTTAATATCATCTGGTAGAGAGACGAATGAAGATGTGTGACTTTGCTTAAAGAAATAGTGAAAGTGAGTATTAATGCAATTTGAAACTAGCACAGAAGTATGCATTTAGTTTTGGTGAATGATTTCTGTTTGGTAGATTTATACTTGCTTCACCCTTTATTCTGGTTCATATAATGGCCAAAAATAAACAATTATTATGGGCTTGAATCATACACTCACACTGGGTAAATTCCAACCACGTCATCACCTGTATATTCTTTTACAGCCACTGCAGGACTGATCACATTTGCAACATGAATATTATCTTTGATTCCATAATTTCAACACACTCAGTACTCACAGCAATTTATAGCTAGATGTGTAGTAAACACTTTTTCGTTTTACCTTGGGAACTAGCTTAAGAGAGTAAATGAACCGAGATTGCACGAGGTCTTGCAACGAGCCGATAGGGTAATCCTGAACTCTACAATAAATGTCACTTCCCTCAAAGGAGAATAAATAGATGTTCTTGAAAATAGAATCTTTAAAACAGAGCCTTATATGTTTTTGGACTTTCAACATTGGTAAAATATAAAATGATATTCAAAAATGAGTTTAAAAATTTAGCAACAATCATAGTCCATTCATATTAGGCATTTAAAAAATGTGCTACGGCTTGTTATACCAAATCAGTTTTGATAGCCTTTGTTAGATAAATTAGTGGTTAGTGGGAAGTTTGAGAGCTGGGAGATTTAGTGTATTTGGGAGTAATATAAAGAAGTCTTAGGATATCTGGGTACTGTGTTTGAGTGGTAATAGTTTAATTTTCTGCCCCACTATGATGACTTTTTTATGACATTGAAGTGAAGAAGCAGAAAAACAAAAGATCATTGGGCATCATCTCACCTGTCTTTTTCCTGAGGGAAATGAGTTGAAATAGGGTGTTTTCTTTAGCAAAGAATATTAGATTTAGCAGGCCTGTGTTCAAATTCTAGTACCCAGCTTACAGAACAAGTGTTCTAAAATGCATTTCTGAACTTCTCTCAACTTCATATTCCTATGTAATGAGATGACAAGCACAACTACTCTGTAGTCCAATTTCAAGAATTGAAGGGGTTAACATATGTAATAGACTCACCTAGTTCTCAAAAGAAATAATTCCTTCCCACTTTCCCTTCCTTGCTTTTATTTTTTTTCACTTTCTTTACTGCAGATTATATCTTTTACCTATTCTTGGTGTCTGTCCTTTACTACAGATACCAGTAGCAGTCATATTTCAGCACCCACTTTCTTTTGCATTTAAAAAATAAAATGCTGAAGCTGAAACTTGTTGAATTAAGCTATAATTTTATTAGTACGTGTGTGTACGTTTGTGTGTGTGTGTGTGTGTGTGTGTGTTTTAAACCCCTTGCTGAACTGTTTTGGTTAAGTTAAAGTAAGTGCAAAATGTTTTCAAATTCAACAATAGAATTATTACCATTTGAGGAATAAGGTATTATCCCAAGATGACATATCCAAGACCTCAGATGAGAACACTGAGACATTACATTAGCTTCTTTAAGGTCACAAAGCTAAGTGTCAAAGTGAGATTCAAAATGAATTCATTTGGTTTCAGTCTGGGCAATTAACCATGCTTTTGGTTAGATATAAGCGTATTTTGCTTGTGCTTTAATAGCTGTCTCCGAAAGATCAGAAAAACTAAAACATATTTGACATGCTCTTCATTTTACTGTGGGGAATATGTGATAAAGAACTGGTCTCAGTTTAATAAAGGTCATACAATAAACCACTTTTTGGGACATGTACTAATGTCTCATAGGTATAACTGTGCTATAGTAAGATTTGAGTTTTCACTCACAGGACTAATCATCCCTGATGTCAACCCATCCTAGGAAGAACTGCAGAATCAGGGACTCATATCAGGAACTTGAAAGACGTGCCATGGACTAAGCCCACAAAGGAAGGCCTTCTCTCTGGGCTTTTCTCGCTGTGATTTCCTTTTTTTGGAACTTGGCCCGTAACTCTCTAGATGTGGTGGAAACATGCCACAGCCTATTGGAATCAGGCTAAAAGCTCTGAAGAAATGGAACTGAAGCAGAATATTTTCCCAACCCCTTCGTGGGATTCGTGACAGGTGTGCCTGATTTACCCAGCTTGCAGTTTTCAATTCCTAGTAAGAGGGAGCATGCAAGCACATAAGGCGGGAACTGGAGTGCACCAACCCTGGAACCAGCTGGCTGCTTCAGCACTGGCAGGAGTGAACTCCACTCACTTAGACCTGCAGCAGTCCACTCCTTGTGGGATGGAGTGCATGGTTGAGCACGTGCAGGAGTCAGGGTGAGTGCTTTTGGGTGCTGGCAGGAGCAAACTCTGTGCAGGCCTCATGGCAGAATCTGGGGAGATGCCTGCGACCCCTGAAGCCTCAGAGGGAGAATGTTACAGTGCTATTTTAGCTCTGCCATCTGCAGATGGCTTAAGTGTTAACAGCTCAGTGGGCCTTCTGACTTTTCACATGAGGCAGCTGCCCCTCTGCCAGTGAGAGTGAAAGGCCAGTATGACAGCCTTTAGTGTTCGCACTCATGGCACCCAAACTCTTGTCTGGCATCCAGGAGAAATAAGGTTGCACAAATAAATTAAAAGATGATAAATGTGGGGGGATTTTATTGCCAATGAAAGTGGCTTTTAGTGGAAGAGGAGCTGAAAAAGGGATAGGGTAGGAAGGTAATCTTCCCCTGAAGTCTGGCCATCTCCAGCTGGATTCTTCTCCAAAGTTAGCCATCAAGCGTTCCTCTAAAGTCAAGCTGGTTCTCTCCAATGTTGAGCCATTGTCTGATGTCCAGCTTTCTCCTCTTTGCTTGCTGGAGTCTTTATGGGCACAGGATGGGGGTTGGGGCAGGCCACAGGTGGTTTTTGAAAAGGCAGCATTCAAGTGGGAAAACAAAGATGTAAATTCTCACTTTGGGCCACCGTCTTAGGCTTTTCAGCTTGAGAGTGGGGCTTCACCAGGGACCCACCCCTGTCTGCCTAGAATTTCTCTGCCTCCTCTCCCCATCAAAACCTGGAGTTATCAGGCAGGCATACTTCAGAAAACTTCACAAAGATATTTTATAGTTTGTGAGTTTTGAGAGCAGATTTGGAGATAAAAATGAGGCGTAAGTTTTTCTCTGTGTTGTAATACCCTTCCTTTATACAAAGTAAGCATCCTCAATTATAAGTTAATCATAGCCCACACCTTAACATATCGTGAGTACAAGCAATATTAGAGGGAAATTTAAACTAAGAGTCTACACATTCAAGGAATCTGGAAAATTTAAGTACATGAGCAAGTTAGGAGGATGAATAGAATGCAAATATTATTATCAAGAGGCAAGAAAGAGTTCCACTTTGGGCCATGATGAACTAAGAAAGACTGGATTTGTATTTCCAACTCAGATAACTAGAAAACTGAACAAAATATAACAAAATACAGTTTTGAGGCATTAAGCCATGCAGGATTATGATACCTGAGAGAATGATAATATTCCCCAGAAACTGCCTAGGGAAAAGATTTTCAACCTTGCACACTGTTGACATTTTGGGCTGGATAATTCTTTGTTGTAGGGAGCTGTCCTGTACATTGTAGAAAGTTTAGCACCATCCTTAGCTTTGGTGCTAATGTAGTAGCACTACCCTAGTTGTAACAACCTAAATTGTTATCAGACATTCCAAATGTCTACTATGGAACAAAATCATTTCAGTTTGAAAACCATTGGCCTAGAAGTAGTCCCTGTGCTGCGGCATAAAGAAGGAAAATCCAAGCAGAACCAAGCCATCATGCAGATTTAGGAAGACAGAGATTAAAGGTTAAAGAGGTCTGAGTGGCTAGAATTTATAAAACAGACTACCAGTGAAAGGGGAGCTGAGAGAGAGAGAAAGAAAGAGCAAGCTTTAGAATCTACCTAGGGACACCCTCAATCTAATCTGCACCTATGTGAGAGGAAACCACATGAGCAGAGAAAGAACCACTGGAAATTAGAAAGTGCAACAATTCACAGAGTCTACACACAGCTGGGAATAGCAATTCCTCCCATCAGCCAGAGTTGAAGACTTTTAAGACATGGAGAAATCTCAGAAGGGTGACACCTTAGTAGAAGATCTAAATTAGCCCTCAGTTAAAAGTTGGTCAAGACACACTCCAAAAAACTTAAAAGCAAGCATTTAACTGTTTCCAAGAACTTATTTCTTCACCAGAACAAGTTACAACACAATTTAAAGAAATACGTCAAAATCCAGCATTCAACAACATAATATTCACAATGTTAGTTATCTAATCAATGAAGCTGGAAAATCTGCCTCATAATCATGAGAAAATATAATCAATAGTGACATTCATAAATAAGAGAGATGACAGAATTGGCAGTGAAGGACATTAATAAATATGAAAAGAATTATAAATATGTGCCTTATGCTTATATGTGCCCAATTAAAAAATATGTGACAATGATAAAGAGAGAAATAAGAAATATAAAGCATTACCAAATAAAAATCTATAAAGAAAAAACTAAATTAAAAGTACACTGTAGAGAATTAACAGCAGATTAGACATTGCAGAAGAATAGATCAGTAAAAATGAAGTCATCGGAAGGAAATGAGAACAGAGATCTAAAAAAACACAAGCAAAAAAAAGAAGACAGGAAAATAAAAAGAGCTACAGTGATAATTGTATTCTAACAAGCGTAATTAGATCCAGAAGGAGGAAGGCGGAAGGCTACGGATGGGAGTGGAAGGAAAGGGTAGTATCTGGAATAAGAATAGAGAATTTTAAATATGATGAAAACTGTAAAGCAACACATCCAAGAAGTTAAGCAAACCCCAATCAGAATAAACACACAAAAAACAACACTATGGCATATCAAAATCAAATTGGTAAAACCAGTAATGCAGAGAAAAATCTTAAAAGCTGCTAGAGAGGGAAGAAAAAATGACCTATTATGTACAAAGGAACAAACATATAAGTGACAAAGCATTCTTGGCAAAATGTATGCAAGCAAGAAGAATATATAGTAATATCTTTAAAGTACTGTGAGGAAAAAAATCCAAAACTGTCAATCTGGTTGTTCTCTGCTTGGCAAAAGATTTTTCAAAAATGAAGTGAAAGAAAAATTATTTAGACAAATAACAATTGAGATATTTCATCACTCGCAGATTGGAACTACAAAAAATATTAAAGAATGTTCTTCAGGCAGAGAACAAATAATATAAGATAGAAATTTAGAAAGATGAATGGCAAATGCCATTCAATTATAATCATAGAATGTAGAAGTCTTTTATTCTCATATATAAATCTCTTTTAAAACAATTCTGTGAACAAAATAATACAAATGTGTATATTATATCATAGAAATAAAAATAACAACATCAGTAGCACATGAGGAGAGAAACAGATGTAGAATCTTACCTTCTTTCAAGATACATAAAAAGTAGCATTATATTTGAAAATAAACTGTGATAAGTTAAAGATGTATATTGTGATCCCTGGAGGATCTACTGAAAATTTAAACTAAGAGATGAGGAAGTAGCCAATATTGAAGAGAAAGTGGAATTATAAAAAGTTTTCATTTAACTCAAAAGAAGACAGGAAAAAAGGAATGGAGAAAAATGGAACAAATATAAAACAAACTAGAAGTTGGCAGATTCAAAACCAACCATATTGTTAGTTATATTCGATCTAATTGGAATAATCTAAAAGCACAATCTATTGACAGAGATCAAGCTGACTAAAAAGATCTAACTATATGTGTTATATAAGAAATGAATTTTAAATATTAATATACCAATAGGCTAAAAGTAGAAGACTTTAAAAGATATTATGAAAACACTAAGCAAAGGAAGCTGAGTTGAATAAATTAATATCAGACAAAGTAGGTTTCAAGCTAGGAATATCACCAGCGAAAAGAGAAACATTTTATAATGATAGAGAGGTCAGTTCAACAGGAGGATATGCTTGAGGCCAGGAGTTTGAGACCAGCCTTGGCAACATAGTGAGACCTCTACTTGTGAGGCTGAAGTGAGAGGATGACTTGAGTCTGACAGGTCGAGGCTACAGTGAGCTCTGATTGTACTATTGCACTCCAGCCTGGGTGACAGAGCAAGACCTTGTCTCAAAAAAAAGAGAAAAGAAAAAAAAAAGGATATAAGGATATAACAGTGCTAAGTGTACAAGCACCTAATCAAAAAGCTTCAAAATGCATGGGGAAAAATACAATTGAAATGCAAAATTTACAAATATACAAATATGATCGAGATAGTTAAAACTTTTTTCTTAGCTGACTAAATGAGTAGTCAAAAGAATAGAAAACATTTATCAACTTAATTTTCTCATGAACCAAAAAAATTAACAAAATAATAGCAAATTAAATCTAGAAATATAGAAACAGTATAAAACACCATGAATGAGTATAGTTACTATTTGAAAATCAATGTATTTCATATTAACAGACAAAAAAAAACCCATATGATTACCCCAATACATTCAGAATGCAGGAGAAACATTTTGCAAAACTAAAAAAAAAAAACAACAACAACAACAAAAAAAAGAAAACCCAAAAACAGCTAAAACCTTTCAGCAAACTAGGACTGGAGACAACTCTCTCAATATAATAAAGTATGTAGTTGAAAAAAACCCTACATCACACTCAATGACAAAAGGTTGTAGTTAATTCTCAAGTTTAAGGCAAAGATACTGCTCTCATTACCTATGTGCATTATTTTAATATAGTCCTAGACAGTTTAATAAGGAAAAAAAGAAGGAAAGGAAGGAAGAAAGAAAGAATGTCAAAGGATAATTACCATTAGAAATGGCAGGTCAGGGACTCCAAAAATCTGCCCCTCTGTAAAATCAATAAAAATTTTGGCAAAAATTGCCAATATCAACTTTTTCAGAACTTTGAAAATTAAATAAAGCATGCAACAATCGGAGAAGTATTTATTCAAGAAAAATGACTGTCTCAGTAAGAGTTACGAACTTTGTGGTGTTTAAACTCATTGAAGTCACACTCCCCTCTCCCAGGTATGTGGTAACCCTAAAAGCCCAAAACTTACTATCACAGTATTCGTGAAGAATAGTAGCTTACCAGGTACTCACTGGTGGAGAGAGAATGGGCTTGGAACTCATGTTAAACCTTATTCACAGAAAATTGACATTATCTGACCCCTCTCCAGTTATCTGAAAACCTTCTCTCACAGGCCTTGTATGTATTTGACCTTAGTCAGAGCTGACTTGGTTTGGATCATTCAGAAAATAATTTTTATGGACATTAGTTAACTTTAAAAAGTTTAATAATATGGCAGCTTACAAGAGGTGTTGATAACAGTTGGAGCAAACAAGAAGCTGACTAAAGCTGGGGAAGGAAATGTCCAAAGAAAACTTTGAAAAGCCCTAACATGTTACTGAAAAGCCAGAAGACCAAGCGTCTACAGGGTTGTGTGGATGACCAGGAAAGACCTGAAAGAGGCCAAAGTCCTTCCTTCCAATTGATGTTGCAATTCTGTAAAATCAGGAAAGGAAGATTAAGGCAGAGTTTTAATCTGCCTGTTTATGCTTGAAAATCATGAGGATAAAAATAATTTTAGCAGTATACCATGTTATGGATCTGAATACTTAATATATTTTGTATGTCAATTTTACTCTAAGTGATCTATAAATCTAACACGACTCCAATCAACACTCTAGCCATCTTTGCTGATAAAACTGATAACCTGTCTTTAAAATTTATAGGCAAAAGATTTACAATACATGACACAATTTTATGTTTCATAATCTTTGCTATTTTCAGACTCCCTTTATTTATTGCCACATAAACTTCAAGGTTATTTTAAACAATTAAAAAAACTGACCCTGATTAGCAATCTCATGTAAAATCTCATTTAAATTTATATATTAATTTTAAGAGCACTTTCTTTCCTCATCAAAACATTTATTCAGATATTGTTTTAAGTACACCTAATGATTTCTGTTAATTCATAAACGTCATTCAATTTTTAAATTAATTTATATGTATTGCCTAATTTTCCCCTTATTAAAATGAAATGTTTTTGTATTTCCAATTATACCTAAAATGATGTCTTTAGAAGAAACCAAGTCTCCTATGTTAGTGTTTCTTAGAATTAATGTAATAATATTGCTAGGCGTTTATTTGGTGTTAGTAATCTATAATTTGCATAATATTGGAAAGGGAGAAAATCTTTAGTTTCAGTATTAGGAATGACTTAATGAAATTGTTGAAAATATTGTACATGTCTTGTGATTTAAATAACTACCATCCCCAGGCTTGCTTAAACATAATTAAAATGATACTATGGTGTATCTGCCAGAAGTCTACTTTAAGGGATAAGGAGCCTCTTAGGAAATGACTCAGCCTGAAAGAAGAGAGAATGCTGGCACAGAAGCTTTTCTTTTTCATTTGTTTTAACAACAAAATGGAATAAAAATGAGTTCAGCCTGTGTAGATTTTATTCGGCTTATCCAAAAGTTCAACCACTGAAAAACTCTACCCTCATCTCTCCACTGAGTTCTATGATGAAAAGACAGAATAATAACAATAACAAAATATTTATAAATGTTAATTAAAAGATTATAATCTATTTTCCATGAGACAATGAAGTAGCAGTAATTTCAAAAATTTTGCAAATATAGAAAATTTTTCTAGTGGTGTTGAATGTAATGAGAGACAGTGATCTTGGTGTTGATGATAGCAACCTTGATGTCAGAGGGCTCCTCTTCCTAATAACAGTCCAACTCTTCTTCTTCCATCTCACACTGCCATTATCACTACTTTCACCAGCAATGTATTATTGTTATCAGATATTCATTACAGAGCTGAATCAGCTAATGAAATTTAGTTGGTTATTTGCAGTTATTACTGCTTTACTTTTTACTTTAAAATCTATTGATAGTAAGCAATTTTATTTCAGAAAACATTTTGAAAAATGTTTATAATGACTTATGTAAATACACTCATGATTTTCCTTCTTGTAATTCTTTTATTTTCCTAGTGAATTCCTCAACCATTTATACATTTATTATGAAATTTTGGGGGAGCCTAATAATTGAGTTTGGGACTTTCTCATTTATCTCTATTCCTTACTGTTAAGAAGGCAACAGCTGTGAATAAATGGCTTCTCATACTGATGTTTAATTTATAATTTATTTTCAATTTATTGGTAACATACAACTCAAGTCTCAGTTCCTTATAAAGGCAAAGGTTTATTTGTTGGTTGTATTCCATGTCCACCATAGTTTTGTTGGAGACTGTGCTTATTAGAGTCACTCAAGAGACCCAGTGACCTCATCTTGACACCTACCTCCATGATCAACCACAGTAAGTGGTAAGAGAATGTGTTCTCACACTGGCTCTTAGAACTTTGGCCTGAAAGTGACACATATTTCTACTGCTTACATTTTGTTAGCCAACTGTCTCCCAAACACATATAACTTCAGGTGTTGAGAAGGCACAATATTACTATGCCTAGAAGAACTGTAGTGTTTGTGGACAGCCTGAATGGCTACTATGTCATATCTCTGGCATATTCAACTATCCTCCAAAAAGTAAGTAAAAAATAATTTTTCAACTGTAAAAACATATGTAAAACTGTTCCTTAAAAGTACAAGTGCTCACTTCATGCCTATTTACACAATTTTTACAAATATTCTAATTTGGGGGCTATCTGATTATCAAATCAAATGTAAAACAAAAAAAAAAATCAAAAGTGAGATAAATGCCTAAGGAAACAATATAACAGAAGCAGAAATAACTAGATGAATAAAAAAAGAAATCTAACATAGTATAAATTAGCATACAAAAATTATTCATAATTCATTAGACTCTGAGTGTATCATTTGTTTTGATCATGTAGAGAAATGTGGACCTGACTCATCAAGAAGTGGTTAATTGATGAGTTTAGGAATTGAAATGGTCTGGCTGTTTCTCCACCCAAAATCTTGTCTTGAATTTAGTTCCCATAATTCCTATGTATCATGGGAGAGAACCAGTGGGAGGTGATAGAATCATGGGAGCAGTTGCCCCCATGCAGCTGCTCTCGTGGTTGTGACTGAGTTCTCACAAGATCTAATGGTTTTATAATGGGCTTTCCCCTTTTTCTTGGGAGTCCTTCATGTTTGCTTCCCCTTCTGCCATGATCGTAAGTTTCCTGAGGCCTCCCCAGTAAGGCTGAATGGTGAGTCAATTAGACCTCTTTTCTTTGTAAATTGCCCAGTCTCAGGTATGTCTCTATTAGCAGCATGACAGTAGACTAATTCAGTAAGTTGGTTCTGTAGAGGGTGGGGTGCTGCTGTAAAGACACCCAAAAATGTGGAAGCGACTTTGGAACTGGTTAACAGGCAGAGGCTGGAACAGTTTGGAGGGCTCAGAGGAAGACAGGAAAATGTGGGAAAATTTGGAACTTCCTAGAGTCTTAGAAGGCTTATAGAACAGGAAGATGTAGGAAAGTTTGGAACTTTCTGGAGACTTGTTGAATGGCTTTGAGCAAAATGCTGATAGTAATATGAACAATAAAGTTCAGGCTGAGGTGGTTTCAGATGGAGATGAGGAACTTTTTGGGAACAGGAGTAAAGGTTACTCTTGCTCTGCAAAGGGACTGAGGGCATTTTGTCCCTGCCCTAGAGATCTATGGAACTTTGAACTTGAGAAAGTGTATTTAGTCTATCTGGTGGAAGAAATTTCTAAGCGGCAAAGTTTTCAAGAGGACCATGGGGTCCTCATGGAAAACATCTGCTAGGGCAGTATGGAGGGGAAATGTGGGGTCAGAGCCCCCACACAGAATCCCCACTGGGGCACTGCCTAGTGGAGCTGTGAGAAGAGGGCCACCATCCTCTAGACCCCATAATGGTAGATACACTGACAGCTTGCACTGTGTGCCTGAAAAAGCCACAGACACTCAGCACCAGCCCTTGAAAGCAGCTGGGAGGGGGACTGTAGTACCCTGCAAAGCTACAGGGGAGGAGCTTCCTAAGGCCATGGGAGCGCACCTCTTTCTTTCATCAGCATGCCCTGGATGTGAGACATGGAGTCAAAGAAGGTCATTTGGAACTTTAAGGTTTAATGACTGCCCTATTGCATATCAGACTTGCAAGAAGCCTGTAGCCCCTTTGTTTTGACCCTATTGCATATCAGATTTGCGTGGGGCCTATAGCTCCTTTGCTTTGTCCAATTTCTCCCATTTGGAATGAGTGTATTTACCCAATGTCTATACCTCCATTTATCGAGGAAGTAACTAACTTGCTTTTGATTTTACAGGCTCATAGGTAGAAGGGACTTGCCTTGTCCCAGATGAGACTTTGGATTTGCACTTTTGAGTTAATGCTGGAATGAGTTAAGACTTCAGGGGACTGTTGGAAGCGCATGATTGTGTTTTGAAATGTGAGGACATGATGTTTGGGAGGGGCAAGGGGCAGAACGATATGGTTTGGCTGTGTCCTCACTCATAACTCATCTTGAATTGTGGTTCCTATAATCCCACATGTCATGAGACGGACATGGTGGGAGGTAATTGAATAATTGAGGGAGTTACCCTCATGCTGCTGTTCTCATGATAGTGACTGAGTTCTCACAAGATCTGATGGTTTTACAAGGGGCTTTTCTCCTTTGCTTGGCATTTCTTTTGGCTGCTGCCATGCGAAGAAGGATGTTTTTGCTCTGCCTTCCGCCATGATTGTAAGTTTCCTGTGGCCTCCAACCATGCTGAACTTGGTCAATTAAATCTCTTTCTTTTATAAATTACCCAGGCTCTGGTATGTCTTTATTAGCAGCATGAGAATGGAATACAGGAATACAGAAATGCACTTACTCTTGGAAAAACTCCTGAACAATAACATTTAGTTTCAGAAATTTCTGCCCTTGCACCACTCCCCAACCACATACATATATATGTAACTGATATCTAATAATCTGAGATTTCTTTACTAGATATGGTACAATATATTTATCTGAGATTTCTTTACTAAAAGAGTTCACTTCTAATAAGTTTAATAAGAAGTTGCTGTTTGTATGGTGATGTAATGCCTAAGAACCAAGTAGTACCACTGAATAATCCATTAATAATATAGTCATTAGTCATTATAAATAAGTCCTTCTTAGACATATTGACTCCTACAAATTTCCATGAAGAAAATGAACATTAATAAATATTCCTGGAGGGTTCCTGATAAGTTTTCTTTAGAAAATGTTTTACATAATCATAAAAGAGAAGAAAACAAATTTTCCTTTATTTCAGTGTATTTTAAAGATTTCATATACATACATTAACCACATCACAAAAAAGGATCTTGAAATGCTATCTTTTAATTTAAAATGTATTTTTATGTGACCAAAGAAAGACAAAAGAGGAAACACTTTTGATTTGGCATTTTAAGTATGTCAGTGAGAATGCTGCCTTCATAGAAGGTAAAATAAAAGGAATAACAGAGCAGAGATTTGTGCACCACTGCTCCTGTTCTGACTTCCAGAGAGACCATTCAGCCTTCAGCAAATGAAGAATAAGTTCACTGTTGAGTGGATTCACAAAGAATCTCAAAATTGTAAGATATATTTAGCTTCATGAGAAGGCTATGTTGAATTCCTTGTGATTTCAGAATTTCTTGGTAACAGGAAATCACAAGGGAGTATATTTAGGAAAGATGTCCTCAGGTTTGCACAAAGAGACTTTAGCAAACAAAACAGAAACATATGGACAGCATCCTCAGTGCCAAGTGTCATAGGGATTTTGCAGATCATCACTTTGTCACACACACACACACACACTCACACACACACGAAGTTCTCTCAGCATGAGACTTACTTTATTAAATGCTGGTAACTGTCTTGGTAAAAGAGAAACAAGAACCATAGATACTGTAAATTTGCAGAAGCATGATAAGCAAAGGAATAGTCAAATTGATGCATTCTTCATAATCATGTTTTTTGTACTTTCCACCATTAGTCAGTACTTTGATTATCCAAATTATCTAGAGATACTCATGCACGTATTTTCTGAGGGTTGAGAGAGAATTATATTGTTTTTGATTTACATAGGTCAGGCTAAGAAAAACTTAGTGTGATCAAAACCGACATTTCAGGGTAGACACACAACAGCAAATAATGTATTTGTATGCATAGTCTGTGTAGAATCTTCAAGGTGTGATAGCATTTTCTAATTTCAAAGCAACATCCTGAAAAATTCTACAAAAGAGAACTTCATAATTATTTTCAGGGGAATGATAAAAGACAGGCAAAGAAGTATAACTTTTTAAGAAATAAAAAATCATAATTTGTTTCATAAAACACGCACTTCATCTCCCAACATTGGGCTGAAGACAGTGGCTGGTAAAATTACAACTCCAAGTCATTAACACCTAAAAGGAAACTTCAAATGGATCTTGCTGAATGATATGTGGTGTTCCTCCCAAATGTCCAAACATGATTCACTAACTATGCCCAAGTCAGAGTATTTTGAATTGCCCATAGAAGATGCAATGGATTCAGAATTACTAGATAGTTCTCAGGCTGTGCATCTGTAAAATGAGGTGAAAATCAAATGTGAACTGTCATAGCTTTAATGTGACTCAGTAACTATAGTTTTCTCCAACTTCAGATTGCAGGGAAAGATGCCAGAGGATTTGGGGATTAAATCAAGAGTATGAACTACTCATAAAGAACATAGTGGGAGTCTCACTTTTAAATAAAACAATGGTGGTATTAACTGATGACTCTTAAAAATATGAGAGAAAAATATCTACATGTGAATACAATGAGTTTACTCAGGGTTAAGAAGGTTTGGATGTAGTTATAGAAAACCAGGCAGGAAGTTGACTTTGGATTAGGGAATACGAGAAGTGTTTCAATAGTTTCTATATGTTTTGAGACTGAGCACACAAGTTAAAATCTTCAAACCTAAACAGGCAAGACTCCATAATTTCTCCGTCTGAATACTCCCACTTGCAGGGAAAAAAATCATTTACTAGGTCAGGAATGAGGCTTCAACATAAGTACTGTATCAACAACTCCTTAGGTAACATTGATGCTTAATCACGTTATAGGTAGGATAAAACTTATGCCGGGGAAAAAAAAAAGCCAGCTTTCTTTTCCATTTCTGGTATAGTCTCTTATTCTTCTGCAATAGTCCTTTAGTAATGCCGTCCCTGAAAATAGTCTGAAATTCGGGCACTAAGAGCTGAATGTGATGTTTAATGCCTGCTCATCCCAATCTTTCTAGCCAATTTATTCTCTATCTGGCTGCATAAATATTGTCCCCTAAAATAATGTATTCATATGAGGTAAATTTTGAATCTCCAGTGATACCTAGGAAAATTATTTTCTCTATATATTGATGACATTTCATTAAAATGTAAAGAATAGCTTCATACACAAATTCATATATAGCACCACAGGGTAAACAATACATAATATCACATATACTTTAATAATATTGTGTATTATTGTAACAATACACAATATCACATACACTTCAGAATTGCAAGGAAGTTTCTAATTAGCTATAAAAAGCTTTGCTTTTGTATTTTTCTTGGTATTGTTCTGAGTACTTACAGTTTTTAAAAAGAGAGAAATACATCTAGGAGATTTTTTTTTTTGCCCTTCCTGAACACATATAAGAAAGAAGGTCATTCTATAGGGTAATAATAGACAGAGAATGATGGAAAGACATCCAGGTGGTTCAGCCAGGTGAGGCGAAAGGAGTCATGATTTCTCCTGAGATCTCCAGTCAGTAGAGAGAGCCCTGTAGTACAAGACAGGAACAACTTTGGTGATGTTTTCAAAAGTTTCATTTCTCATGTTAGGGAGATGCTTCTGACGCTTCTCACTGAATCTTCTGGTTTCTGTTAGAACAGCAAATCAGTCTCATTTTGGGACTCAGCTTTAGGAATCCTATTCCAATACCAGATTTATTTAGTAATAAAGTCAATATTTGTTTCTCCATCTGCCTACTCCGTTGTCTCTCTTCTGCTTCCAAACTTGGAAAGGAACACAAAAAGATTCACACTGCAAAATAGAATTTTACTAAAAATGTACTTTTTTCTGAAAGTGTAAACAGAAAGCCAAGTATACGAGGTGGCAGAAAACACTTTGAAAAACAATAAACCTGTGCACAAATATGTGGCTGTCTTTACTCATTCAAAGCTACTCTTGCATAATCTGTTTACTGCTCAGTAATCAGCTTGATGCTTTAGTAAGTACAAATTAATAGTAGTTGTTATTACCTGAAGAGGAACCTCAACTTACTTTTCCATGACAGTTCTTTGTTTTATTTTTGTGTTTAGCACGGCCATCCTCCCAGCATCTAACCCATTTTTCATAACTTATATTAAATATCCTATTATTAGGCCAGGTGCGGTGGCTCATGCCAGTAATCCCAGCACTTTGGGAAGCCGAGGTGGGTGGATCACGAGATCAGGAGTTCAAGACCAGCCTGGCCAACATGCAAAAACCCTGTCTCTACTAAAAATACAAAAATTAGCTGGGCATGGTGGTGGGCGCCTGTAATCCCAGCTACTCTGGAGACTGAGGCAGGAGAATTGCTTGAACATGGGAGGCGGAGGTTGCAGTGAGCCGAGATCGCACCACTGCATTTCAGCCTGGGCCACAGAGGAAGACTCTGTCTCAAAAAGAAAACAAAAAACAAAAAACAAAAACCTAGTATTTCTAAGTACTTTTCTTATCCTCACCCTTCAGCTGAAGATGCATTTTTTTCTATAAAAATCTCATAAAACTTTGTTACTTTTCTCCTATTCAATTTTATATTGTTTTTATTTGTTTAAAAATATTTTTCTAGTAAAATATTAATGTCTTGAGGGAATAAACTGAACCCTATTTAGCTTTAAAATATGGCTGGGTGCAGTAGCTTATGCCTGTAATCTCAGCAGTTTGGGAAGCCAAGGCAAGAGGATCAGCTGAGGCCAGAAGTTTGAAACTAATCTGAGCAACACAGCAAGACCCAGTCTCTACAGTAAATAAAAACTAAAAAATGTAGCTGCGCATGGTAGCATGCGCCTGTGGTCCCAGCTATTTGGGAGGCTGACGCTAGAGGATTACTTGAGCCTAGGAATTCCAGGCTGGAATGAAATGTGGAGAGTTGCTGATGATGAGGACATAGATAAGGTTATTTTGGGGCCCAGAGGCTGGGAAAGGGGCACTGTCACTATTTCTGTATAGATCAAAGAGTATCTCTCGAGTCAGTGAGTGCTGATGGTATCTCAACATTTTTTAAACTTTGGGAAGAAATCAGAAAAGAGCTTTAAGGCAGTATAATGCTCCTCTAGAGAAGAGGCAGCTGTGAGTAGTAAGGTGGGTGCTCAGAACAGGACAGGGGAAGAGCTGCAGCATCCATCTGGAGCAGCCTCGTTTTGTATAGGCACAAGGGTGGCACTCAATGAGTCCTTCTGCTTTTTCCAGTGCAAGAAAGGGAAAAAGAAGAAGATACACCTTGAAACACTACTCCACAGCATTATATTTTTCTATTTAGTTTTTGTATTTGTGTATTTGATTTCCATAACACACCAGAAGTCACTTTACAACACCTTGAGTAAAGCAAGGTTTCTCAGTTTGTAGTCTGTGTGTGACCATGCAGTGTGATTTACCAGATTTGCCTTATAAATGTTAATGCCTCTCCTTTGACTTTCAAAAATGACTCAATTCAAACAACAAATTGTGTGGTCACCCCTCCATGAACCATCTGTATCATATTGTAGATCAACTAAATCAGAATACATGTGGCTGGTGCTGAGGGCCCAGGACCTGCATTCAACAGAACCGTGCAGCTAATCTCTAGGTAAAGAAGGAATTCTTTAGCTCTAGACTGTCTAAATTCAAAGCACGTATGAACTGTATTACAAAACACTAACTTTTTGAAAGATATCTATATTTGTGTTGGTATTGAATTTCAAAATCTGTAAGTTGATGTTTTTACATTGTTTACATTTATGTTTTCAAACAGTAATCTAAAGCCTCATATATAAGATTTGGCCTGTTTTAGAATAAAGACTAGATGTCCTCCTATATGGGCAAAGAAATCATTTTAAACAGTTTGGGCATATAAATTTTTCTATAATAACTCATCAGGCCTGTGTATAAAAGAGACCAAGTTATGACTATATAAACATGTGAACACTATTAGAGATATTTTAATTTCATTTTAATTGTATAAACAGAAAAAAAAAACAGAAGAATAGGGGTGAGATGTTGATCTTTTGTTCCTCCATTAGTTGTATTTTATCCCCAGTGAAATGAAATTCCTTTGAACTTTGAATTTCCTAAAATAGGATACTGAAACAAGTAAAAGCAAAATATTTTATCCAGCAGGTGTAACTTGTAACATTAAAACCTAGTACAATCTGTAAATTTAAAAAATATTCATCAAGAAAAGGCAAACATTCTCTCTTCACAATAATTTTGAATATGGTCCTGGCCTTCCATCATTTAACTTTCTAGTGCTTTGCTAGCATATGTTTTCTGGTTTTGTTTCCTCTTTCTTCTCCCTTTTCTTGACATTATCCAAAATTTACAGAGCTTCAGATTTTTCAGTATCCAAGTTGGGCTAATTATCATGGTTCAGCATATGGTGTGTTCCAAATGGTATGTAACTGAAGCTGTGTTAATATTTTTTCAGACTACATAGGCCAACAGAGCAGGATTTCCTTCTGCTTTTCTATTGTGAGATTTTATCTTAGGGGTGCTGGGTGGGAGGTATGGGACCAGCAGCAGAGGAAAATTCTTTCTTTTCCTATGGGGTACAAATAGGGAATTCATGGCTCTAAAGAGCGCAGATGGCAAGGGCTATTGAATTTGCCCAGAGAGAGGCTTCACCAGCTGTCTTGTTGTGGGAGGCACTTGGAAAACCTGCCTGACTGGCTAACACTACTAGATCTGCAGAGGAGCTGCTCATATGAAATGCACTGGTCCTGATACATGAGGTTAGGGTGGGAATGCCTCTTCCCTGAGTATATGTAGAAAAACCTAGAAAAGAGAAGAAGTCTGTCCCTAATGCCTTAGCAAAAGGTTCACAGATCCACTAAATGAATAATTACTTAATTAATTCCAAAGAAAAACCAACAGACGAATATAACCATAGCGGTAGCCTCCATTGTATACCACAAGACATGACACTGAAGAGCCTGATCTCTATACCTGCTGATGAAATACATAACCAAGAGTAGATTTAAATACATTATATAATCCTTCTAAGAAGCTTCAGCCATGTGAAGCATAAAGATCAAGATGAACAACTAGGACATGTGGTACCTATGGAGCTTAAACAATAAAAGTGAAAAACAAAAATTTTAACCAAAAAAAATGAAATGTCAGAATGATACAATAAAAACACAGAAATTAATTTATAGCTCTAAATATATGACTTTCAAATATAAACATGTAACAAATGAGGACAGAAAAAAACATTGCTGAGGACAAATTAAAATTCTAGCATATCATATGAAGAAAACACCTTATAGCAGAGGTCTGAAAAAAGAAAATAATTTCACAAATGAAAACTTATGGATAGATCAAGGAAACCAGTAATGTAAATAATAAAAATTCCAGACAGAAGGCAAAGATAGAGCAAAATAAATTATTAAAATTTTAGTGTTTATTATTATAAATAATATACTTTTAACGTGAAAAGTAATTTGAGGTTCAAACTTCAGTGTAGAAAGGGTTTACTGAATCTAAACAGTACTGAAATTTACTGAATCTAAATAGCACTAAAACTAAACAGTACTGATCTAAACAGTACTGGTCTCTATATCCTAGAGGCACTTTTGGGCCCCAAGAATAAAAAAAAAATTATATAAGATTACTTACAGAAAGAACACATTATATGCAAAGAAGCAAGAATCCAGAAAAAAATTACATTTCTCATGTGCAGCACTGCAAGCTTGAAAATGATAAAATAATAAAGACTGCTTAAAGAAAATAAATGAATTTTAAAATATTCTGTACAGCTTAAAACGTGTCATTCTTTGTTGAGGGGAAACCATAGAAGACAAGAATGCACTGCGAATGTACTCTAAGAAAAGGTACACAAATTCATACTATAAAATATATTCTAATTTGTAGTCAATAAAAATACTCAATTTTAATTTGATTGTACATAGTGAAATATAAATGTATGATGAAAATATGACTTAGAAATTTTTATTTCTTTATGAGATTATTTGAAACAGATGAAACATTTTATAACTAGAGCCAAATAACTAAATTATATCAAGTAAACTCAGGGTTTGGAATGGATGTACAGTTATCTTAAGTTCTCATCTTGTAGGGAAGTGGATCTGGAAGTATAATGCCTTGCTTTAGAGTGAGAGTGGTATACAGTCATAATTTAATGTTGGTGCATTAATACATAAATATAATTTAATTATAACTTTGGGGAAAAGGGGAAAATCATCACTAGACTGAATAGATAGCTAAATTAACAAGAATTTGTAAGAAAACAAACATAATCATGATAAAGCTAAAAGAAGGATAAAATTGGCAAATAAGAAGCAAATAAGAAGCTTCTAAGTGAGAAAGCCTCAATTTTAACCATAAATTAAAAGGAACAAATGTAAGTGTATGTCTTTTCATTAATTATTAGCTGCCTTAAATTTCATATCCTGAGAATGTCAGGATTGATTTAGAAGTAGACTCTTTCTAGATCAGCTGTCCTCAAACTTCACGTAAGCCAGGTAATTCAGCAGAAAATATAGTGCAAAAAATGTGTAATGTTACTATGTTGCAGCAAAAATATCTTCTAATCATATGAATCCTTAAATTCCTTAAATAAGCCTACCCCATTACCTCAAATAAAAAGCTGTAAGCATGTGCTTCTGTGTGCCTCTAATTCCTTGAATCCTAGTTTAATACAGGCAGCATAGACACTGAGCTTTGGCCATGACTTTGAGAGCAATAAAGGATGTACCAGGAAGTTAATCCCATGTGCACCGCTGTCCAGGAATATTCTCACATGTGCATAATATTACATTGTATTCTTGCTGGTTTGCAGGTAAACTTGGTAATATCCAATATTTTGTTACTATTAATTTAAAACCAGCCTTTGTGGCTTGGCCTACATAGAATTGCATTTCTATCCCCTTCTCATATGACACAAATAATATTGTTGTCAAATCATAACAAATTATAACAAATTATTTTGTTGTCTTATGAAGTTCATGTTTGTTTGAATTTTCTCAAATATTCACCAAATATTTGCCCACCATCATTTCTTCATTCCACTCCTTTTGTTGTGTTCAAGGTCCCTTTCCATCTTCCTGAAACACACTGTGTTAATCAGCAATTTCTCCAATAACTTCAATGTCCTACAACAATATTTACTTTTCTAATTCCTGAACCTGGGTCATTCAGGGCATCTTTGCTTCAGAGTGTGAATGAGATGGGTTTTACTCTGTGTTTCTGGTCAAGTGTGTTCCATATGTATCATTACTGGGCCCAGGTTAAAGGAGCAGAAAACCTGGAGCTTATATGCTTCATGGTGTTAGCAGGAGCACGAGAGGCAAGCCAAACCACACAAGAACATTTAAAACCTCTGCTTGCATTATGTCACTTGTCATTGGCCAAAGCGAGTCACATGGGTAACCTCAAAGTTCCTGGGCAGGGAAAGGTATCTCACCTGTAGTGGAGGAAACTGCAATATAATTTTATAACAGAGAGAGGTTGAAGCATTGATAATAATATGCTTACCATGCACATTTAGGATTGTAATAAAGTTTTGGGAGTAGGAAACTGGCCTGTGTCTAAAAATTGTTTTGGAGTTTGCAATATTATATAGCTATAGAACTACAGGGTAACAGATACTTTTCTTCAAGATATTCATTTTATTTTATTCTCTTCTTTTTCTTTTCCTCTTCCCTCCCCCTACAAGCCCTCCTCTCCCTCCTCTTCCCTCGCCTTCCTTTACATCTCTTCATCACTTCCGTCCTTCTTTCATTCCTTCTTTCCTTCCTTCCTTTTCTTTCCTTTTTCTATTTCTTTCCAGGCTTCTATTGTTTCTTTTGAGAAATTAAATGACATTCAATTTGTTCTTGTATAAGTAAACATTCCCTTCTCTTTAGTTGCTATGAGTCTTTTGTGTGTTTTTTTAATTGTATTATGCAGTTTTATTATAATGTATCCATGTGTGGATTTGTTTAAATTTAACTTCTTGACTCTCACTGTGTTTTTTGATTCTGAAGATTACTGTCTTTATCAACTTTTGAAAAAAAATCAAAGTCACTATGTTTTCAAATATTGCCTCTTTTATTTTTGGCTCCTTCTATTATAACCACTTAAAACCCTTTTTAATTAAATATTTAGAACTTTTCATTTCTGTAATTTCCTCAGATCTATCATCCTGTTTACATCACAATTTTCTATTTTCTCTTTGACTTACTCATTGATAACACATATATGCTATTTTTCAGAGTAAATCATATCACAAGATATGTGAGAGGCCTAGTGTTTCACAGTACCTGGTTTGATGTCTTATTTAATGTATTTAAATAATTTAACATACTCATTTAATGTGCTGTTTCATTTGTTAAGGATCAGTTCATGTTTGGGGGTTTCTAATTCTTCTACGTGCGTCTGTTTTCTCTTGTTCCAGGTAGATTGCTTCTCGGTGAACGGGTTTGTAATTTTTAAAGTACACATTCAACTTTTGAGTGGCCTCTTATATCTATTTAATTCTTTGTGACTTGGGTGAGAAATGTGATCATCCAAAATAGCATGGCATTTGCTTCTGCCAGAGCCCTTGGAGTTTTACCACCCTAGACCTGACTTTTAAAGGTAGAATCTTGGAAAGGGAAGAACTTGACTATTCCTCCAGAGTAATGCACTCTCCATGTTAGTGCAGGACTCAGAACCTGATTTATTAAATTGCGTGGGAGAATTTCATTTTTCTCCTTTGAGACCTGGAAGAAATGAAAAGAGTAGTACCTGCTTATCCACAGCTTTGCTTTCTGTTTTAGACACCTGCAGTTAACCAGTCTAAAATTATTAAATGAAAAATTCCAGAAACAAACAATTCATAAGTTCTAAAATGTGTGCTATTCTGAGTAACATCATGAACTCTCATGCCGTTCTGCTCTGTCCTACCGAGGACATGAATCATCCCTTTGTCCAACATATTCATGCTGTAGACACTACCCACTTGTTACGCATCAACGTTGTCTCTTCTTGACATCCAACCATTGATGTTGTCATTGCTAGATGATCCAGAATAACCCAGAGCAGATGACCCTCTTTCCAACATATTATCAGAAGGTCAGTAGTCACCTAACTCTGTGTCACAGTGCCTATGCATTTCACCTGACTTCATCTCATCCCACAGGCATTTTATCATCTCACATCATCATAAGAAGAAAGGCGATTATGGTACAATAGATATTTTAAGAGAGGGTGAGAGAACTCATTCACATAACTTTCATTACAGTATATTGTTATAATTCTATTTTATTATTGGTTACTTTTGTTAATCTCTTGCAGTGCCTAATTTACACATTAAACTTTATCATACATGTTTAGGAAAAACATAGTATGTACAGAGTTCAGTACCACCTACAGTTTTAGGCATCCACTGGGGGTGTTGAAATCCCCTGTGGTTAAGGAGAGTATACTATAGTCCAGAATTTTTCCAATGATGCAGATTTGTTTTTAGTCTACCTATTTACTGTGAGCTCAGACCTAATAGGGTCCCAAGGACATTGTTTTTCTCTCAATTCCTTACTTACAAGGACTGATTCCTCCTCTAACACCCAGATCAGTTCCGGAGTGAATTTATGTATCCACTACTATACTATTCGGTTCACATTGTTTCTAGTTAGGGTGATTGGGGATTTCTTACTTGCAAGCTCAGCAGGGTACTGAAATGATTATAACTGGACAAAGCATACTTTATCCATTATTTCTAAATGTCTGTGGCAGGATGGTTTTAAGATTAATCTTAATATACCAAATATTCAGAATTGGAAAATAGAATATCTTCAATGTAAAGCTATTTATACTGGCAACGAATAACATATTTTACCTCTTTTAGCTACAAAATGGTATGTGTATGTATATGTGTGTGTGCATATGTGTGCACACCTTCACATAGAAAAGCTTAATATAAAATAAAAAACTATATTATGTCCCACATTCTGATTGTATCTAATAAAACCAGAAATATTTAACTAAGCCTTTATTTTTTAAGATGGATTAGTAGGAACATTGGGTGAAAATTCTCCTCAGAAAGAAGATAAAAGTTACTGGGGAATGCACATGTTCCAAATGGAAAACTGAGGAAAGAGAGCCAGGACCTGTCAGAGCGCGTATGGGAAGAAGCTGAAGTGCAGAAAAAGAAAGCAAGAGTATGACAGTGATTGACCTCCAAGGAATGTGGAGCCCAGAAGGAAGGGAAGGTGGGGTGTTTCTCTGCTTCCCTTGCCCCTTTGACTGTCTGCTAACTGCCAAACTGTTGGGGAGCCCCTCTGCCCTAATGACCCTGGGCAACACTGTCATTCGCAATTTGGGAGTTCCCAGTGACAGAGAAACAGCTGGCCAGTACTCATAGTTATGTCCACACTCCTCAGGCCTGCACTAAAACAGCAAACACCATATTGTTTGCGTGCCACCTGTGGCGGACCTCTACTCTGCTTTGCCCTTGAGTCGTGGCATCATGAGACCCCCCTTCACACACTCAAACATACACCACAACCTGTTCTAACTTTGGCAATCACAGGGGATCGGCAGGTCCCCAGGAAACTGCAAACTCCCAAACCTAACCCTTGGTGTGGGCCGCCCCTAAGAGAGCTGGAAACACAGCCTGACAAACCTTCCCTGGGGACAAAGGAGAGACAAGTGCACTGCCAATCACTGAAGAGGGTGGCACCGCCAGCCAAGAATGGACACAGAGGGGTCATCTCCCCCAACCAGTGCACTGTTGTGAACACAGTAGAGGTTTTCCCTGCTGGGGGCCAATACGTGGAGAAAGTACTTTTCATGCTTTTTGTGGTAGTTCCACCTCCATCGAAAGTGAGCCTGCACTGCTTGGACTTGCACAAAGGGTGGAGTCCAACTCCCACTCCCTACACAGAGTGGCAGCCTCCCAGCAAAGGATGGCGGGCAAACCACAGAGTTGTCCGCCCTGCACTGGGGAAAGAGGCTCCAACCTGAGCCCATGTTGGTGGTAGCCAAGGAGAAACGTGTGTCCATGGGCTGAAGCTACACTGTGGCCAGGAGCCGAAGGATAAAGTCTATTTGAACTAAAGGTCATGGGCCCTGCACCAGGGATGCAATTAGGTTCCTGCCTGCTCAGGATGAGGAACTGGTGCACACCCACTAACTCTTTCCCCTGAAACTTCAGTGCACCCCAACATGAACCCCCCTTGCAACCCTTCTCCCACTGTCAGGAAGAGTGTGACCAATGATCATCAGTCTACACAAAGGAGAGCTGGCTCTTACTCTAGAGTGCCAATTACTGGAGACTGAAGCCTGAATTGCAATGCCAAATGAAAAAAAAACCTGCTGCCAAAATGGCATAGTGTTAGTGCATGAGACAAGCTTGCTAAAACATCCCCACGCTCAGCCCCTCAAGAGACAGAGTGTCAGCTTAAATGTCCAATACACCACTACAACAAGAAGCATCTGAGAAAGCCACCACACAGAAACTATCCATAAGGAACCCATACAGAGCCTTGGGCTCCCTGAAAGCACTCAGAAACAAATAAACAAAATTAAAGGATTATACATAGCATTCAACACAGCCACGCCCTGAAGAAAACAATAAATAAAAGAATCCCATCCAAATGATAATAAAATTAAAAATAAGAAGTAATACCTCCCTCAGATAAGAATCAGTGCAAGAACTCTGGCAGTACAAAAAGACAGTATCTCAACACCTCTATATGAACATAACTCTCTAGCAATGGTTACTAACCTAAAGCAAACTCTGAAAAGACAGATAAAGAATTCAAAATATGGATTGTAAGGAAATTCAATGAGATCCAAGAAAGAGTTGAAAATCAACACAAAGAAACCAGAAAAACAATTCAGAATATGAAAGATGAGATAGCTATATTTTAAACATACATATATAATATATACTTATATATATAACTGTATAACATATATAACTGTATTATAAATATACTTATGTATATAATGTATATGACTGTATATATGACATATATAATATATAACTTCTCAAATTGAAAAATTCACTAAAATATTTCAATAAACAGTTGAAAGCATTAACAATAGACTAGACCGAGAAGAATTTCAGAGCTTGAATAGCATTCTTTTGAATTAACACAGACAAAAATTTTTTTTAAATTCTAAAATTGAACAAAATCTTTAAGAAATATGCAATTATGTACAGTGACAAAACCTATGACTTATTGGCATTCTTAAGAGAGAAGAATAAAAAGTAAGCTGCTTAGAAAACATATTTGAGGAAATAATTCAGGAAAGTTTGCCTAATCTTGCTAGAGAAGTCAATATCTAGATACAAGAGATTCAGAAAACACACGCTAAATGATATACAAAACAACCTTCACCAAGTTATATAGTCATCACAATATCTAAGGTCAACACACACACACACACACACACACACACAAATCTTAAAGGCAGCTAGAGAAAAGAACCAAATTACCTCTCATATAAAGGTAATCCCATAAGACTAACAACACACTTCTCAGCAGAAACCTTACAGGCCAGAAGAGATTGGGGGCCTATTTTAGTCTTCTTAACACAAAACAAAGTCAACCAAGACTATTAGATAAAACAGACTTTAAACCAAAAACAGTAGAAAAAGGCAAAGAAGGGCATTATATAATGATAAAGGAAATAAACAAGAAGATTTAACTTTCCTAAATACATAGGCACTGATCACCAGAGCACACATATTTATAAAACAAATAGTACTAGACCTAAGAAGAGGTAGACAGCTATACAATAGCAGTGGGGGACTTCGACAGCCCACTCACAGCACTAGACAGATCAAGGCAGAAAACCAACAAAGAAACTCAGGACTCAAATTGGACTCTTGATCTTTTTCTTATCTGTTCATGAAAAATTCTCCAAAATTTGCCATAAGCTTGGCCCTGAAGAAAATATCAATAAATTCAAAAGAAATGAAATCATATCAAGCATCTCCTCAGACCGCAGTTAAATAAAATTAGATATCAATAACAAGAGGAGCCCTCAAAAACACAGAAGTCCCGTGGAAACTAAAAAACTTTCTTCTAAATGACTTTTGGGTAAATAATAAATTAAAGCAGAAATTTAAAAATTAAAACAAGTGAAAATAGAGACACAATATACCCAAACTTCTGGAATACAGCAAAAGTGTGTTAAGAGGAAAGTTTATAGTGCTAAATGATTACATGGAAAGCATAGAAAGATGTAAAATTAATAATATAACATCACACCTAAAGGAACTAGAAAAATAAGAACAAACCCAAAGCCAACAGAAAAAAAGAGAAACAAAGATTAAAGTATAAATAAATGAAATTGAGATTTTAAAAAATCATACAAAGGATCGGTGAAATAAAAAGTTGGTTCTTTGAATGGATAACGGAAATTGATAGACTGTGAGCTAGATTAACCAATAAATCAAAAAAATAAGATTCAAACAAGTGCAATCAGTGGTATTTTTGATAACGCAGAAATAAAAAAGATCCTCAGGAGACTACCATGAACATCTCTATGCACACAGACTAGAAAATCTAGAGGAAATGGATAATTCCTGGAAGCATACAGTCTCCCAAGATTGAGCCAGGAAGAAATTGAAATCCTGAACAGACCAATGATGAGTTATGAAATTGAATCAGTAATAAAAAAAAATCTATCAAGAACAACAGCAAAAAAGCCCATGATCAGATGGATTCGTAGCCGAATTCTACTAGATGTATAAAGATGATCTGGTACTAATATTACTGAAAATATTTAAAAAAATTAAAGATAAGGGATTCCTCTTTAATTAATTCCATAAGACCAGTATCATCCTGATATAAAAATCTGGCAAGAACACAATAGGAAACTACAGGCCAATACCCCTGATGAACATAGATGCCAAAATCTTCAGCAAAATACTAGCAAACAGGATCCAGCAGCACGTCAAAAATATAATCCATTCCAATCAATTGAAGGACTTCATTGCAGGGATGCATTCTTGCATTCTTCGTTTAATATATGGAAATAAATGTGATTTGCCACATAAACATAATTAAAAACAAAAACCATATGATTACCTCGATAGATGCAGAAAAATCTTTTGATAAAACCCAACATCCCATCATGATAAAAACCTTCAACAAACTAGGCATCAAAGAAACATACCTAAAAATAATAAGAGCTCTATATGTCGAACCCACAGCCGACATCACACTTAACGGGGAAAAGTTGAAAGAATTCTTCCTAAGAACTGGAATAAGACGAGGATGTGCACTCTCACCACTCCTATTCAGCATAGCACTGAAAGCCCTAGCCAGGTCAGTTCAGCAAAATAAAGAAATACAAGGCATCCAAATAGGAAAAGAAGAAGTCAAATTACCTCTGTTTGCTGATGACATGGCCATATACTTAGTAAACCCAAAGATTCCTCCAAAAGACTCTTAGACCTGATAAATGACTTCAGTAGAACTTCATGATACATATTAATGCACAAAAATCACTTGCATTTCTGTATACCAACAATGCTCAAGCGGAGAGCCAAATTAAGAACTCAGTCTCGTTTATAATTGCCACACACACAAATAAAATAGCTAGGAATATATTTAACCAAGGAGGTGAAAGACCTTTACAAGGAAAATTACAAAACACCAATTAAATAAGTTGCAGATGACACAAACGAATGGAAGTACATTCCGTGTTCATGGAAAGGAAGAATCAATATCATTAAAACGACTATACTGCTGAAGCAATCTAAAGATTCAATACAATTCTTATCAAATTCCTATGATCATTTTTCACAGAATTAGAAAAATAAATTCTAAAATTAATGTAGAATCAAAAAAAAAAAAAAACCCAAATAGGCAAAGTAATTTTCAGCAAAAAGAACAGAGCTGGAGATACCATATTACCCAAACTCAAATTATACTACAAAGCTATAGTAACCAAAATAGCCTGGTACTGGTACAAAAATAGACACATAGATCAATGGAACAGAATTGAGAATCCAGAAATAATGCCACACATTTACAACTAACTGATTTCTGAAAAAGGCAACAAAAATAAACAATGAGGAAAGGACACCCTAATCAATAAATGGTGTTAGGAAAATTGGCTAACCCACATGCAGAAGAATGAAACTGGACCTCTCCCTCTCACCATGTGCAAAAATTAACTCAAGATGAATTAAAGATTTAAATGTAAGACCTGTAGTTATAAAAATCCTAGAAGAAAACCTAGAAAAAACTGTTCTGAATATTAGCCTGGGCAAAGAATTTGTGACTAAGACCACAAAAGCAAATGCAACAAGACCAAAAATAGACAAAGGGGACTTAGTTAAACTAAAGAGCTTCTGCACAGCAAGAGAAACAATCAACAGAATAAACAGACAACATACAGAATGGGAGAACATTTTTGCAAATGCATTCAACAAAGGACTAATATCCAGAATCTAAAAGTATAGGCTTGAAAAAAATATTTTTAAGTAAAAATACTAAAGGGTAAATAGTTTACTTATACAAAAATTATTCTACATATTTAAAAGAAACTTCCTAGTAGAAACTTAGCAAAAGGTATGAACAGTCAAGACAATAAAGGGTGAAAATGAGTCATCAATAAATACTTTATATATTTGCTCAGGCTTCCTAGCACTCAAGGAAATGAAAATAAACCCAACTAGGTACTATTTTTTTTTCTCATCAGTTCAAATACATTTCAAAACAAAAATTTAGTTCACTACTGGTGTGCCTACAAGCACTTTCGTACATTGCTGATGGTAGTAAGTACCTGAGGGAAACGAAGGTAGTAGCAACTGGTACTTTTAAAAATACACATATTCTTCACCATGTACTCCTACTTTATTTAACCTATCCTATGTTTAAAACACTAAGATATAATGCTTACAATGTAAGGTATTCGGGTGATGGATACCCTAAAAGCCCAGACTTGACCATTATGCATGTATCAAAATTGCATGTGTACTCCATAAATTTAAACAAATAAATAATAACTCACTAAGATGTAAGTACCCACATACAGGGGGTTGGTTATTGCACCATTACTTATATTTGTTAAATCTGAAATAAACACTTCCATTAACATGAACATAGTTATATAATTAATGGTGTACAATTGGTTTTTTGTCAATTAAAATAGTTATTTCTGGTAGAAACATTTTCTAGAAAAATAAAATGGCTATTTGTTGTTAGACTAGATGCAGAGAGAAAGAACAGTCTTGTTAAAGGTATCTAGATCCTCACAATAGGATTTTACGCAACTATTAAAAGGAGAATATATGTGTCTTTTCCTAGAGGTTGCTCATGACAAATCATTAAATTGAAAAATAGAATTACACTTTCTTAAAACATATATATATATTTGTGTGTGTGCAATGTGTGCACATACATATTTCCACATACTCAAAGGTTTTCTGTATCTTATTTTTGCCCTGTATTAATTATGTAAGCAATTAAGCTTCCAATTAGCTGGCCTAATATAAGAGGTAGATATGAGCTATTGGGGAGGAATGTAAAATAGAGGATGAAGAAAAGCAATCTATGATAAAATAATGCCAAATCCTTCAATGTAAGGGCATTCTAATAGAGAAAATCATCAGGTAACTCAAAGACAGAACAGAAGGCTTTTGATTATCTAAGTTGTCTTGTTAATTACAGTTAGTCTAAAATTCCCTTTGGCTGTTACAAAAAGCATTAAAATTCTTTTCTTTTTTTTTTTCTTTTCTTTTTTTTTTTTTTTTGAGACAGAGTCTTGCTCTGTTACCCAGGCTGGAGTGCAGTGGTGCGATCTCGGCTCACTGCAACCTCTGCCTCCCGGGTCCAGGTGATTCTCATGCCTCAGCCTCCTGAGTAGCTGGATTACAGGTGTGTACCACAACACCCAGCTAATTTTTGTATTTTTAGTAAAGACAGGGTTTCACCATGTTGGTCAGGCTGGTCTCGAACTCCTGACCTCATGATCCACCAGCCTCAGCCTCCCAAAGTGCTGGGATTACAGGCATGAGCCACCGTGCTCGGCCCACATTTCTTTTTCTGTCTAAGAAAGTATAATACAAAATCTATAATATTTGGTGAGTTTCTTATGATCTCATAGTGATAGGGCTTATGTTTGTAAACATCAATTTTTATAGGCTGTTACAGCTATAGATATAAGTGTGAAGGAACTTGGATTAAATGCATCTGAACCTTATATGCCATAACTGAGGTTACCTTGGGTCTTGAATTTTTTGCAGTCCAGAGAGTTAAAGGCTCTCACAGTGATGGATGGTTGTCAATAGAGTTGCATATCACAATAACTAGAAAACTTAAAAAAAAAATCTAAATATTCAGGCCTTGATCTCTTTGTCCTGAATTAGATACACTTAGATATGTGGAACTCTGGTGATATGTTTTTCCAAACTCTTCTGTGAGGTGTGCTTCATTTATTAAGAACAGCTAATCTTTTCAATTACTTCCAATCTATAGAAAATTCCATCTTAAATGTACTGAAAATGAGGAAAAGACAGTTTTTTGATTTCTAATCTGCTTAATCTAATCTAATAATGCATTCTTGGTATTTTGGTTTTATTTGAAACTTTAGGTACCTAGATTCTGAGTTTTATGAGTCAATAAGTTAAGTGTTGTTTTCTAACTCGGTGCATTTTCAGTGATGTGGCATCACACTTCCAGGTGAAGTTTAAACATTCCCATCCTACATCTTCAGCTTCAACTTGAACAACCATCTCCCCTGTTTGAGGTTCCCACTATTAGCTGTTTAATCTTTTTCTCTTTCCCCTCTGAGGCATTGTACAGAATGCTGTGTAATCCCTCCCTCAATTCTCACACACCCCACTTTTTATAACTAATTCCTGCTCATGCTTCAGATCTCTATTGAATGTTGCTTCCTAAAAGAGGTCTTCCCTGTCCTCTAGGTCTAAGTATGTCCTCCTGCTTCCCATAGCAATTTCATTTTCTCTTCATCATATTACACTTCAGTGATACAGAAATACATAAATTTGAGTAATTATTGTACAGTAATCGATCAGACTTTTTTTAATATACCAGTGGTTT
This sequence comes from Homo sapiens, assembly GCF_000001405.40. Lineage (NCBI taxonomy): Eukaryota > Metazoa > Chordata > Mammalia > Primates > Hominidae > Homo > Homo sapiens. Next base: position 52,373,257 of record NC_000002.12, on the reverse strand, counting down.
CTACTTCTCAATCAATCAATAAAAATCAGTAAAATATTTATGAATACATTTCACTATTATAGTGATATCTTAGGATGCTCTCTCACCTTAACAGATTATGTAACTTGACATGTATTTTAGTGACAGGTAGGTATATTTCTCTAGGAGAGAAAAATAAAAGTTAGTATGGAATTTTTTTTTTACTTGAAATCTAATACATGTTTTTTCCAGAGAGTTGATCATAATTCCTGGGATATAACAAAGTCAACAGCAGCGGCAGCAGACTTACCTGCATCATGTGCCCACACCCAGCTCGTGGCCCTAATCTACCTTTCTAAAATTCTATAGCAATATCTCACCATGTATTCTTTAGGCCCCTACTCATTTGGACTAATTTTTGGTGCCCAAACATACCTTTCACTTTTTTCCTTTCAAACGTGTACTCATGCAAATCCATCTGGAATCTGTCTTCCCAGAACCCTCCTCAACACCTTCCAGACCTAATTGCCTTCCTCTACCTAGGCCTATTTGGGTTTGTTAATGCCAAGGACAGTACCAGGCCCTTATTCAACACTTCATATACCTCAGCACACAATAGATCAGTAGAAATGTAGAAAGTCAAACCCTCTAAGTTACATTCCAGAAAAGTAGCATTCATAATGTTTTTTTTTTCTGATTGTTTGCAATTTGCTAAATCAACAAAGTACTTTGTGTCTCTCCTTTTACTCCTATGTGCCAAACTAGAATTTTCTTGACTTTTCCTTACCTCTCCATAGCCTGGCATAGCCTTACCTCTCCATAGCCTGGCATATCACAGTATCTTGCAAATAATAGTATTTCATTATGTAATCAAATGCAAATATTTTGATAGAGAAAGATATTGCTCTTCGGTAAATGATCCTTTCCTTGTGTATGGAATAAATTACTATATTTATGGAAAGTGTGAGAGCAATATGAATTCTGTTTAGAAAACCATGAGTTCTTCCAGAGTACCAAAGCCTGTTGGGGCCTACAGAGTTAATGTTTCTAAATAAGAATCAATTTCCTAGTTATACAAGAGAGGTGCAAGAAAAAATATTAGTACAATGACAGACCTGAGTGGAAAAATGTAAAGTAAGTATAATTCAGTTTGAACAGTTATTTTTGTGCCTCAAGTTTTTTAAAAGTCAAGAATTGCCATGAGGTTCTTTAAAAATATAGATAGTACCCACATGTTTTTTTTTTAAATTGTAGATTGTGACTGGGTACAGTGGCTCATGCCTGTAATCCCAATGCTTTGGGAGGCTGAAGCAGGAAGATCAGTTGAGGCCAGGAGTTCAAGACCAGCCTGGATCACATAGCAAGACCCCATCTCTACAAAACACGCACACACACACACACACACACACACACACACACACACACACACAGAGTAGATACTTGGGTTTGCATCTCGGCAAAGACTTTTAAAACAGCTCAGAAAATTATCCTACTAGCCAATGTATCCTTTTTCTGAAGAACAGACAAGTAAAAACTTTAATAGCAATTAAACGATCTTAAGAAAATGAACATAAATGGCACCCAGAAATATGAAAGATTAAACAAACATACCTTCCAATTGCAGAATTATGACTTATTGGCTGAGTCTACATGAAACCAAAAATACTTGTTTAAATGTGAAAAAAAAATTCAACCGATTATCTAAGTACGTTGTTCTCAAGATGCTATAAGACTTGGTTTAGTTTTGGTTGAAATTACCTTATTTGATATTATGTAAACAGGCTAAATGCCATACAAACACACAATAAATAAATTTTTTCAAGTTAAAATTAAAGGTAGGAAGGCATATAGTGTCAGATGATGATGACTGAGATTCAGAGATAAAAATATTATAGGATACTAGGCAAATAGGAAGAAACTTAAAATGAGTAGTGTATGGTAAACGCAAAGTACACTGACGATAAAGGAGGAGGCAGACAATTTCATAGATTATTACATAAAAGAACATATAAGAACTTATCATGAAGTTGTATTGACTTGTCAAAGCAAATGTTATGAACAATATAGTTATTTGATTTCCCTAAGACTTGAAATGTTTAACATTATAACCCATGTTTCCTCTTCATAATGGTCAACTATTTAGGAGCTTATATTGACCTAGGTGGATCTTCTTTGGTGTTTTGTTTTGTTTTGTTTTGTTTTGTTTTGTTTGTTTGAGATAGAGTCTCGCCCTGTCACCCAGGTTGGAGTGCAGTGGTGTGATTTCAGCTCACTGCAACCTGCAACCTCCACCTCCTGGGTTCAAGAGATTCTCCTGCCTCAGCCTCCCTAGTGGCTGGGATTACAGGCGTGTGCCACCATGCCTGGTGAATTTTTTTTTTTTTTATCTTTAGTAGAGACAGGGTTTCACCATGTTGGCCAGGCTGGTCTCAAACTCCTGACCTCATGATCCAACCGCCTCAGCCTCCCAAAGTGCTGGGATTACAGGCGTGAGCCACCACACCCAGCCCCAAATGGATTTTCTGATATTTTACTTTCATGCCTTCTCTGAGTGGTATTCTAAATCTTTTGTGCCTAATGGTCTGAAATTATTTTTACTACTTCATTTTTTAAAGATTAGAAAAGAATACCTACAACATGGTTACAAATCAGTATGTCCTTGGGAATGAACCAAAATGGATAAGCAGAAGTCTGAAGTAAACAACACTGCTCTTAGACGTTCTACATTCTCTTTGTTTATGACCTTTACGGAAAATGGCCACTGATTCTACTGTCAATGCTTTCAACCATATTAAGTTGCTTGGTAGAAAAAGAAATCCTGGTTTTTGAATTTTCAAAAAAAAATTCTTATTGGAGATATGATATTTTTAACCAAAGTGCTAGGGAGTAGGTATAAAATAAAGTCAAGGCTCAGAGGCAAAGAAACCTGAGGTCAAGGCTCATATTAACCTTTTACTAGCTTCATGACTGGGAAAATTAATAACTTCTTAATATTCAGTTTTATTTTTGATAAAATATCACTAACAATCCTTGCTTTACAGTGATATTATGATTAAGATAATGCATAATAGAGAATAAAATTGTGCCTGACACATGGTAGCGAATTAAAAAACAGTGTTTTTTAGCAATGTTAATAACAGATACTATTTCAAGAAGTGTTTAGTGAGTTTTATCCTATGTAACAAGGACTGGTAGAAGCTACCTGGGATCTTGCATTCAAAACAATACTGACATGTCTACCCTCAGAGATTCACCAGGGTCCATAAAGGGTATGGCAATATGCATATAATACATGTTTTATTTTTGTTAAAAAAGTTGTTTGGCTTGCGCAAGGTGACACAGCACCATCATAATTAGAATTTAGTTCTCCTGGCTTTGGATTTTGTAGAAGTTCAGGATGGAATGTTATTTTTGTTGAGACAAATAGTTTATCAATGTAAGTGGAAATGATGGACATATAAGAAGCAATTGGTATTGTATATCTGAAGATAGGTGAGTGCATGTGACTATCAGTCAGACCTAAAATAAGACAGTGTATCTACTACAGATGGAGTTTAAAGTCTATTAGAGCAAATAACATTGCTATAAATCTTTGTAAAGACAAGACATTGTTATAGTTATGTATTTCTACAGATACCAATTTCAAAAAATATTTGAAGCAATGTGTTTAAGTCAAGGGAACTGGCCAGACCCTGAAATGATTTCACATATTACAGTTGAATTCTGATGTGAATAAGAGTAAAATAAATACATTATCCTGTTTTTTCTTCTAACTTTAGCTTTGCAATTGGACTGGTTCATTGTTAGCATCTGTAGGCTAACTTAGAATTTTTTCAAAAGCATAAATTTGATTCATAAAGGCTGAGGCTTATAGTTATATCTTTAATCATCCATGGAATGTCACACCGTTAGAGGCCTGAGGCGATGCAACATTAATTCAGCAAATATTTATTTTGTGTCAGCCTGTGTGCTAGGCAGAGTTCTATGTACATGGAATATAGTAATGAACAAAATTGAGAAAGAACTTCACTGTGGAGCTTATATTTTGGAGTAAGGGCAGATAATGAAATTAAATATAATAGAGAAATTTAATATATATTAAATATAATAATTTATATGTAATTAAATAGAGAATTTAATTAAATTGAGTATAATAGAGAAGTAAATTACACAATATATTAGAAGGTAGTTAGGTGTTATTTTAAAAATAAAAAACAGAATAAGGGGAAAGAGAGTTGAATAAGGACGAGTAAGTTTCAGCGTTAAATAAAGTGGTAATTGGGTAGAGAGATTTGAAGGAAAATTTTATAGATATGAGGAATTAGCCACTGTATGTATCTTGACAAACTTTCCCTCTTGGAAGAAATAGTTAGAACAAGAGGCTTAATAAAACTATAACAAACCTGGCATGGTTGAGGGGTCCAGTGTGGCTGGAGCAGAATGATAAGGTCAGAGAGGCCAGGAGGCCAGGTCCTGCAGGGCCTTGCATGGACTTTGACAATGGCAAGGTTTTGAGCAGAGTAGTGACATGCTATGGCATGATATTATAAGGGTCATTTGGTCTTATGTGTTTAGAATGGATACAAAAGGTCAAGAGCAAAAAGTTAGAGAACATTTCAGAGGCCATTTTATGATCCAAGCAAGAGATCATGGTAGTTTCAGTTACTAGCAGTAAAGAGGGCAAGGAACAGATGGGCTCTGAAAATATTTTAACATCAAAATCTACGGGATTTAGTAAAAAATGTAAGGTGAGATATGACAGAAAAACAAAAATTCCAGAGAACAATTTAATGATTTTGACCTAAACTGATCCATGTGAAATTCTTTTTTTTTTTCCTTGTACAAGGATGGCTGTAACTGGAGCATGCTTTTTGGCAGATAAGAAGTTTGTTTTTGGACAGGTTTTTAATTACATGTTCCAAAGGACCTGTTGAGGAGATGTCAGATACCTAAGCCTGGAATTTTGGAGAGAGGCCTAAACTGAAAATGTAATTCACAATTAGTTGTCATATAGAGGATATTAAAGCCATGAGTTTGCATGACACTACCAGGAGTGTGAGTACAAATAGAAAAGACTTGAGGACTGATCCCTAGAGCATTCCAAATGTAAGAACTGAGGTATTCCAATACTTGACTCAGAGAGCTTATGAAGTGGAAAAAAATATTTTGGTAAGCTTATAATAATATTTACTATTTGTCTATTGTGTATAAAGTAAAATCTCTTAATGCAGCGATGAGGTAGCTAACTCTCCTTCCAGGAAGGACTGTCTTGCTTTGTGCTTAGGTTTACCTTTTTCTTGTTTCTCCTGTTGAAAATACTTTTTGATATCCAAATATCTTTAACTTACTGTGCTACCCCCTTCACTATTCAGTACTCAAATCCAAAAACATTTATGTGATACTATTGGGGTGAGTAACACACAGAGCAGTTGGAAAGGAATATTTAACAGGGAAAATGGGTATTAAAAGCAAATTAACTGAATATCAATATATATTCTGCTGAGTTGTTAACTCAGCAGAATATATATTGTACAACTTATTTAGATTTCTTATATAAAAAGTAAGGATAATTATTCTTCAGATTTGTCATGAATATTGATATTAGGAAATGCAAAGTTATTGGGAACATTTTTTTTTTTTTACCATATTCATTACCATTGTTTAATTATTCTGTAATCCAAGTTTTTGTGGTTTAGTGTCTGGAGCTCTAATTTTGCCAAGTTTTTTTTTTTTTTAATATACCTACATGGTTTAAGATCTTTTTGAAAGTTTTTAATTTTAATATAGAATTTTTTTCCCTGCTCAACTGGGCATAAACAGTGAAATATATCACATTCTGCAGTTATTTTCAATGTCAGTAGTGGTAACCCTTGCAAACTTAATTTTTTTCCAAAACCAACTCTGTATTTCCCTCAAATATGCACATTCCCTCAAATATGCACACCTAAAGCCCTCATATCTATGATACTTTTCTGTATCATAGTTTGAAAAGTATCAAAATAACGTGATGAGGAAAAACAATCTAAAATCCTTGAGAAAATTAGGCAATTCTGAAATATAGACTATTGGCTGATACAAAAAGAGGCACAAAATGTCTCATGTGACTTTAACTATGGGAGAGTCATTAGATAATTAGTAGTGAGACAGTTGATTGGCTGCATTAAAGTTCCTCTCTATAAAGTATAGGAAGAATATAAGAGAATGTGGGGTCCTCCTTTCATCTGGATTCAGTGTACCCTGTCATCTTCATGGTGGGGATGCCAAGCACTGCATATCACAGCAAACTGATCTGAGGCTGGGTATTGGGGAGAAAGGCTTGTCAGGTAGGGACTACACAACCAAGCATCTCCCAAGTAGCTCACTTTGCTTCAAACTTCTCACTTCTTTCCGAAAAAGAGGTTTCTTCACAGCATTCTTCCCTTCTAGAAAGATTTCCCTGAGATAAGAAAAAATACGGCTGGGTGGGGTGCCTCACACCTGTAATCCCAGCACTTTGAGAGGCCAAAGCAGGTAGATCACTTGAGCCCAGGAGTTCGAGACCAGTCTGGGCAACATGGTGAGACCTCATCTCTACAAAAAATTTAAAAATTAGCCAGGTGATATGCACCTATAGTGCCAGCTCCTAGGGAAGCTGAGGTGAGAGGATTGCTTAAGCCTGGGAGGAGGAGGCTGCAGTGAGCTGAGATCACACCAATATGCTCCAGTCTGGGCAATAGAGTGAGACCTTGTCTCAAAAAGAGAAAAAAATACAAATACCCAATTACTATGTACAGCATTTAATTATCACTAAGCACTCACTATGTATCGGGGCTTTGCCAATGGCGAGGGAGACAGATAACAAATACGATGTGGACTTTGCTCTACAGTTTTTTATTCCTGATCAGACAACTTAGAAGAATCTGAGACCAGAAGAAGAATAAATAAGAATCATCAAATTAAGGGGGGCTTCATTTCAGGAGACATCATCTACGCTGAATCCCAGTGGTTGAAAAGAAGTTGGTCAGGTTAAAGGTTAAGGAAGATGAGAAACTATGTTAGGCAGAAAAAGCAAAGACACTACAATAGAAAGATCATGGTACATTCATAGACCATAGGGGCATGGCAAATAATATTGGCATTCTTCCCAGTGCCTAAGACTACAGGAAACCTATTTAAAAAATAAAAAAATAACTGCTGCAGCTATCAGGGCAGTCTTTGTTCTTATTTATGGTTTCTGTCCATATCCTCTGTTTTAAACATGCTGCTTTGTTTGCAATCCCTGGTTTCCATCTCACAACTTATAAGCGAATCCCTTCACTGTCTTGCTCTTCAGAGAGATGACTTATTAAAATATTGGTTCATTTTTGTTTTCAGCCTCTATCAATACCACTGTCTCCCAGTTGAGCTCTTATTTCCTATAGGTCTCTCTTATGTATTTTAGCCCACAGAAACATCTGCTCAGCTTCTAGGACAATGCATGTAAAGTCTCAAAACACTGACCTTTAGAATTTAGAAAAGAAGTGTTTGCCCACCGTGGCACACGTTTACCTATGTAACAAACCTGTGCGTCCTTCACGTGTATCCCAGAACTTAAAATTAAATTAAATTAATTTAAAAAGTCAAACTCACACCAAAAGGAGTAAATAGTGGTTACTAGGGGCTGGAAGGTGAGGGAAGGGGAGAGATGATTGCTGTATGGTATCAACTTTCAGTTATAAGATGAATAAGTTCTGGAGACCTAAAGCACAGCATGGTGATTGCAGTTAATAAAATGTATTGTATCCTTGAAAAGAAAAGAGAAGAAAGGAAAAGAAAACAAGTGTGTGCATCACTCTTGTTCCTATACCTGAGAAATAAACAAAATATAAATTCTATTGCTATTTTTCTTAGCAGGGCATCATCCCCTCACATTTTGTGCCTAATTGTAAATATATAGCATTCATAGACTTCATCAGAATTTGTAAGACAATATACTTAAAGTCCAAGCTCAGGTATCCCAATTTACTGTCATTTTCTGTCAATAAATATAAGCTTTCAGTTTTCACTGTAGGGTAACAACTTCCAATGACAGTGGACAGATTCTTCTAGCATTAAAGGATTATAATAGTCTCTATTAAATGGGAAGTAATAACATTGTGACTGTCATGATGGCCTAGAATCCCAGGGATCTCTAGTAACAAAATAAGTGTACTTTTATACACTGACTTTTTACTGTGGGCCTACAGTATACAGTGGTAGCAAGGGGAATGCTGAAAACTGTGAGGACAGGAAAAGAGTGATGCCTCAAAACACATACCACTTTCACCAAGTAACAAAGCATAATCCTGCTAATCGCTGGGAGCAGGAAAGAAGGGCAGAGAAATAACCCTAAAATGCATCAAAATTCACAGAGTGTACTGCGGAGATAACCAAAGGCTGTATTTCCTGAGGAACAGAAAGGGCTGGAAAGTAAAGAGAATTCCCCAGCAAGTCAAAAAGCTATTGGCTGTGATATAAAGGAGAGAGAGAGAGACAGACAGAGAGAAAGACAGACAGAGAGAGAGAGAGAGAGAGAGAGAGAGAGAGAGAGAGAGAGAGATCTTTGACAAATCAGGAAACTGCTAATTAGGTTATAAAGCATCAAGAAATCTGAAGATCTCACTAGGGCTCACAACCCAAAACCTAACAAATAAAATGTCTTAATACCACATCTTTTAAATATAAGGACAGAGGTAAACTGAATCGATCTAATGGTGCAATAAATCCAAGGCTGAGCAAAATCACCAATTAAAGTGGCTCATCCTCCTTCATTAGCAGCCTGAGAGAGCAAGAGATACGCTCTTTTCTGGGGGACATATTTCATTCATTTCCGTTTCTACTCATTGTTTTAAGATGTATATTAATCAGGGTTCTCTAGAGAGACAGAACTAATAGGATACATGTATATAAAAAGTGGAGTTTATTAAGGAGTAATAACTCACACAATCATAAGGTCTTACAATAGGCTGTCTGCAGTCTGAGGAGCAAGAAAGCCAGTCCGAGTCCAAAACTGAAGAACCTGGAGTCTGATGTTCAAGAGCAGGAAGCATCCAGGCTGGGAGAAAGATGTAGGCTGGGAGGCTAAGCCAGCCTAGCCTTTTCATGTTCTTCTGCCTGCTTTTATCAAAGCTGTGCTGGCAGCTGATTAGATGCTGCCCACTCAGATTAAGGATGAGTCTGTTTTACCCAGCTCACGGACTCAAATGTTAAATTAATCTCCTTTGGCAGCAAACTCAGACACACCCAGGATCAATACTTTGCATCCAATCGAGTTGACACTCAGTATTAACCATCACAAGATGTAAAGATAAAGTTTGGCAAATATGTATCTTTTGAGAGATACAGTGAAGTAGGAAAAAGGGACTTGTCAAAAGTAAAATAGTCAATACAATGTGATCCATAGATGGTCCAGATGTTAGAATTAGAAAGGAAAAATTGTAAGATAACAATGGTAGGTGTATTAAAGCATCTAGTGTTACAGGTGGACTAATGCATAAACAGGTAATTTCAACAGAGAAATGATACAAAAGACGTCAATGGAAATTTCAGAATTGAAAAAAATATATCAGAAATAAAGAGTTCACTTCATGAAATACACAGAGCTCTACACCCATCAACATCAGAATACACATTATTTTCAATTTCACATGGAACACTGACCAAGATGAACAAATTGGGCCATAATAGAAGTCTCAGGAAATTTCAGGCAGAGTGTGTTTTTTAATAACCCCTAATAAATAAAATTCAATAATATTTATAAAATATCCAAATACTTGAAAATTAATAAACACATTTCTGCATTTGTTATGAACTAAAAGTTTACATGGAAAAGAAGAAAATATTTAGCACTGAATGAAGATTAAAACAAAACATGTAAAAACCTATTAGATAAAGCAGTATTTATAGAAATAATTATAATATGTAATGGGTATATTGAATATTTTAAATAAAAAATTCTAAGCTTCTAACTTAAAAAGCTGGAGAAACAAAGCATATTAAGTCAAAAGTAAACAGAAGAAAGGAAAAATAAACATGAATGTAGAAATCAATAAAATAGCAGATAGGAAATAAATAAAAAGATCACAAAGTAAACAAAAAAATATTAATACAGTTGTCATAGCCCTTGCAAAACTAATCAAATAATAAAAAGAGAAAGCACCAATAGCAATATTAAGAATGAAAGAAAGGACATTACCACAGATTCCACAGACATCAAAAGGAAGAAAAACATAAGAGACAACTTTATAGCAATGTATTTAATACCAAGAAGAAATGGAAAAGTTTCTTTTTAAAAAATAGAATTTCTCATAAAAAAAAAAAAAAACCTTAAAAAAAATAACTCTGGTCCCATTTCTCTTGACCAGTCAATTCCATCATACATTAAAGTAGGATACAACATCAATCTTATACAAATGATTTCAGAAAATGAAAAAGGAAGAAGTAACATTTGTTGATTCATTTTATGATCCATGATGACTCTAATAAGAAAACTAGAGAATGCATTATAATAGCAAAACAAAAACAAGACCAGCATAGACACAAAAATTCTTCACAAAATCCTAGGTTCAAAAATTAATCAATGTTTAAATCATCACATTATAGAATAAGGGGGAAATCATATGATTAATCACTAAAAGCAGAAAAAAACAATTGACAAAATTCAGCAGCCATTCACTATAATGATCTTTTAGTAAACTAGGAATAGACAATATCTTCTTCTATTTTAGAAAAGACATCTATGAAAAAAAAAATTCTATAGATAACATTACCCTTAATGCTAGCACGTATGCTTTCTCCTTAAAATCAGAAACAGGGATAGAGTCCGGAAATAAAAATCACACATATATAGTCAACTGATTTTTGACAAAGGAGCCAGTGTAATTCAGTGAGAAAAGGAAAGGCTTTTCAACAAATGCTGCTGTAACAGTTGGATATCCATATGGAAAAAAATGAACTTTGAACTCTATTTTACTTGATAGACAAAATTTAATTTGAGATGGATAATAGACTTAAAAGAATCATAGCTAAGGTCGTAATGCTTCTATAAAAAATAAGAGTATCTTTACAACTGTAGGTTAAATAAAAATTTCTTATATAGGACAAAAAGCACTATCCTTATTATAAGGAAATGTTAAATTTAAATTCATCAAAATTGAGTATATCTATCCTTAAAGAGACACACAGTAAAAAAATAAGCAGGCAATGCACATACTGGAAGAAAACATTCTATTCTCAGTATATGTGTGTGTATATATGTAATTTATATTTTATATATTATTATATTTTATATATTATGTATTATTTATAATATACTGATAAATGCTTTGCATCCAGAATATACAAAAACTTATATAAATTAATAATTTTAAAAAACAACAAAAATACAATAGAAAAAATATTTTATTCAATACTTCTCAAATTACTATATAAAAATAATAAACCCATAAAAAGGTGTTTGACATCATTATTCCTCAGAGAGATATTATTTCATAAAGAGATAATAGCTTTTATCCACACAAATAGTTAAAATAAAGAAATGTTGCAGTGTCAAGTATTGGTGAGGATGTGGAACAACTGGAAATTTCATAGTCTACAGGGAATGTAAAACGGTGCAGTTATTCTGGATAAATATATGGCAGTTTCTTACAAAGATGAGGGTACACCAATGCTATAAGCTAGCATTCAACTCCTTGGCATTTACCCTTCAAAACAGAATGCCCATAAAATGTTCACACAAAAGTTTATAAATGTGTGTATATTCATAGCAATCTTATTCATAAATAATCTCAAATTGGAACTGTGCCAAATGGTCATCATTGAAACAATAACAAATTGTAGTACATTTTATACAATGTGATAACATTAAACAATAAAAATATATTTCCATCCTTAAAAGAAAGGTGAGTGTTTTCTAAGAATTATCCTTGGAGTATAGATATTTTTCTAATCATTGGAAATCTAAGGACTTCAGTCTTTACTGCTATATGAATTGCTAGCTTATACCTTTACTATCAGCCCTTAATTTATGAAAGCTTTTCTGATTTTTTCATTCATTCACTCAGTAATTTTTTTATTATATATTATAGGATAGGTATTATTTGTATTACTATATCTGGAAACATAAGCAACATTCCTGCCCTCATAGAGATAACGTCAACTGAGGAAATAGCAACCATAAAAAAGTAATTATTTTACATATTAAAGGTCTTATAAAGGAAAACAAACAAAAGGAAATATAAGGAAGCATGACAATGAGAGGGTAACAGAGATTTACTCTTTAGCTAAGGTAGAGGTAAACCCTATGAAGATTGAAATACTTGCTCTGATACCTAAATGATTAAAATAAATAAATAAACTGCAAAAACATCCTTGAGTACAAAACAGAAAGTGAAAATAATAATTTAAGAAGTAAATGGGTCATCAGTGTTTTGGGATTATGGTTGACTTTATTTTCAAATAATTTTTAATAATGGGACAATATGATCTTTTTAATAATATATATTAATTTAATCCAGTCTAAAAACCTGTAGCCAATTTATTTTGCCAGTTTCAATTCTGTACTTCAAGAGACTACAAGCTAGGCCGGGTGCAGTGGCTCAGGCCTGTAATTCCAGCACTTTGGGATGTTGAGGCAGGCAGAACACTAGACCCCAGTAGTTCAGGACCAGACTAAAAAACGTGGAGAAATCACATCTCTACAAAAAAGAAAATTAACAAATAAACAAAAATTAGCTGGGTGTGGTGGTGCAAGCCTCTAGTCCTACGTACTCAAGAGTCTGAGGTGGGAGGATTGCTTGAGCCCCAGAAGTGGAGGTTGCATGAGAGCTGTGATCACACCAGCCCAGTTGACAGAGCAAGACCCTGTCTCAAAAAGAGATTACTTGATCACTTATTAATAAAATAGTTTTATTAGTCCATTATCATGTGCCTAACAAAGACATGCATGAGACTGGGTGATTTATAAAAGAAAGGAAAGAAGTTTCATTGACTCACAGTTCAGCATGGCTGGGGAGGCCTCAGAAAACTTACAATCTGGTGGAAGGGGAAGCAAACATGTCCATCTTCACATGGCGGCAGCAAGGAGAAGTGCTGAGTAAAAGGGGAAAAATCCCCTTATAAAACCATCAGACCTCTTGAGAACTCACTTACTATCACAAGAACAGCATGAAGGTAACTGCCCCCATGATTAAATTACCTTACATCTGGTTCCTCCCATGACATGTGGGGATTATAAGAACTACAATTCAAGATGAGATTTCAGAGAGGACACAGCCAAACCATATCATTCTGTCTCTGTCCCCTTCCAAATTTCATGTCCTCACATTTCAAAACACAATCATGCCTTCCCAACAGTTCCCCAAAGTCTTAACTCATTTTGATAGTAACAGGAGGCAGTCAAATGCCTGGGCAGATAGGGGTAGGTCCGCAGTGAATCTCCACTTCCAAGCTGAAGACAGTTTAAAGCCTGAAAGCCAAGCTAAATCCTCAGACCATGTTGAGAACCTGTCTTCCCATTGGCATACTGTGCTCTGATTGATCCCCACCCTTCACCTATTTTACATAAACCTACTCTTTCCTAATTGGTTTTCTATACTGTCTTGCCCTCCTTTGAGTGATGTCTTCACTTTAACCTTTTTTGCATACTCACAAACCAATTAGCACACACTTGCCATTCAGAGTTTATGAAAAGCTCCAGACCCAGCTACAATGAGAAAACAAAACCACCCAACTGCAGGGGTGGGGCACCACCCCCTGCTGCTTCCCCTCTCTGCTGAGAGCTGTTCCATCACTCAATAAAATTCTTCTCCACCCATCCTAACCCTTCAACTGTCAGTGTATCCTCCATCTTCTTGGACACAGGACAAGAGCTCAGGAACCAACGTATGTGGGTACAAGATATAATATAGGTGGGCTGGGGTGTTCCCAGCCCATCCTCAGACTCAGCTGGTTGCCAGCCAATATTAGTCAAGGGGAGATGAGTGGACAAGGTGACTCCAGCTGCAGGCCCAGGGCCAAGTGAGCCCCAGGCAGGGGGTGAGGGTGGATGTCGCCAGTTGGAGGTCCTGACTGGCAAAGTGACCAAGAAAGTTTCTACATCAATTTTAGCATTAACACAAAAGTCCAAGTCCATAGTCTGAGACAAGGCAAGACCGTTCTGCCTATGACCTTATAAAATCAAAAGCAAGTTAGTTACTTCCTAGATACAATAGAGGTACAGGCATTGGGTAAATACACTCATTCCAAGTGGTGGAAATTAGCCAAAAAAAAAAAGGGACTATAAGCCCATGCAAGTCTGAAATCCAGCAGGGCAGTCATTGAACCTTAAAGTCCTAAAAGGATCTCCTTTGACTCCGTGTCTCACGTCCAGGTCATGTTGATGCAAGAAGTGGGCTGCCACAGCCTTTGGCAGCTCTGCTCCTGTGTCTTTGCAGGGTACAGCTTCCCTTCTGGCTGCTTTCATGGCCTGGAGAGCCTGTGGCTTTTCTAGGCACATGGTGCAGGCTGTTGGTGTATCTACCATTCTGGGGTCAAGAGGATGGTGTCCCTCTTCTCACAGCTCCAACAGGCAGTGCCCCAGTAGGGACTCTACATGGGGGCTCCAACCCCACATTTCCCTTCTGCATTGCCCTAGCAGAGGTTCTCTGTGCCTCTCTGCAGGGCTCCACCCCTGCAGCAGACTTCTGCCTCAACATTCAGGTATTTTCATACATCTTCTGAAATCTAGGCAGAGGTTCCCAAACCTCATTTCCTGATGTCTGTGTACCCACAGGCCCAACACTACATGAAGGCTGCCAAGGCTTAAGGCTTGTATCCTCTGAAGCCACAGCCTGAGCTGTACCTTGGCCCCTTTTAACACTGACTGGAGTGGCTTGGATGCAGGGCACCCAGTCCCAAGGCTGCACAGAGCAGGGGTTCCCTGGACCTGGGCCCAAAAAACATTTTTCCCTCCTAGGCCTCCATGTCCATGATGGGAGTGGCTGCCGTGAAGGTCTCTGACATGCCCTGGAGACATTTTTCTCATTGTCTTGTCAATTAGCATTTGGCTCCTGATTACTTATACAAATTTCTGCAGCCAGCTTGAATTTCTCCCTAGAAAATGGATTTTTCTTTTCTATTGCATTGTCAGGCTGCAAATGTTCCAAACTCTTATGCTCCACTTCTTCTTGAATATTTTGCTGCTTAGAAATTTCTTCCACTGGATACCATAAATTATCTCTCTCAAGTTCAAAGTTCCACAGATCTCTAGGGCAGGGGCAACATGCTGCCCGTCTTTTTGCTAAAGCATAAGATTATAAACAGTCACCTTTGCTCCAGTTCCTAACAAGTTTCTCATCTCCATCTGAGACCACCTCAGCCTGGACTTTGTTGTCCATATCACCATCAGCATTTTGGTCAAAACCATTTAACAAGTGTCTAAGAAATTCCAAACTTTACCACATCTTTTTGTCTTCTGAGCCCTCCAAGTCTCTAAGACATTCCAAATTTTCCCCCATTTTCCTGTCTTCATCTGAGCCCTCCAAACTATTCCAGCCTCTGCCTGTTACCCAGTCCCAAAATCTCCTTCACATTTTTGGGCATCTTTACAGCAGCGCCCCACTTTCTGTCATACAAATTTACTGTATTAGTTCATTCTCATGCAGCTAATAAAGACATACCCACAACTGGCTAATTTATAAAGGAAAGAGGTTTAATTGACTCACAGTCATCATGGCTGGGGAGGCCTCAGCACACTTACAGTCATGGCAGAAGAGGGATCAAACACATCCTTTTACACATGGCAGCAGCAAAGAGAAGTGCCAAGCAAAGGGGCAAAAGCCCCTTATAATCCATCAGATGTCATGAGAACTTACTCATTGTCATGAGAACAGCATGAGGGTAACTACCCCTCTGATTTAATTACCTCCCACCAGGTCCCTCCCATGACATGTGGGGATTATAGGAATGACAATTCAAAATGAGGTTTGGGCGGGGACACAGTCAAACCATATCACTAGTAATCAAGTAGATATCCTAAAATAATGTTAAATAATTGGATATATAATTTGTAGTTAGTTAACTTTATATATTTAAATGGAAGCAATAAAATACTTTCTAAAGCATCTGAAGCAGTTTATAGCCTTACACAGGCTAGGAAGTGCCATGTAAACAATGTCTATAGTATTCATCTTACAAGAAAGAAAAGAACTAACACTCTAACAACATGGTAAAATAAAAAACCTTTCACAACTCTCCCAAAGAACAGATTTAAATTACTATAAATTTTACCATTGAAACATCATTCTAGAAAAACACCAATCCATAGACAGAGAACTGCTAGTTAAGACTAGAATTACTTCCAAGACTTCTATGTTTCCAGAATCAAGACTATGTAATACCTCCATATGTATAAATATTTATTTCAGAACTTATATGTCTCTGTGATCATTCTGGAATAACCTTTGATTAATCAGTTCAGATGTTTTATCCTGGTATGTAAAAATGGACAAGATACAGAAGACATGCTTCTATTCAGCTACATTTTGTTTATCTTCACCAGTGAGCAGCAACCATACACTTCATCATTATGTCAGACACAAACCATTTCCTTTCCTTTCTTTCCTTGTCGTTTCTCTATACACCCTGAGTTTAGAAGCTTCACTAAACTATGTTTATTTTTGAAGCTTTGGGTAGCAGGCCGAAAAGCCTAGAAAAATCAGAGAACAGCAAATTTCCTGTTGATACCCCTTTGATTCTAAAGCATGTTTATATTCCTATTCATAAAAGGCAACTTAAAGATCACTACACAAAGTTTTCCTTTGTAAATATGAACAACTATTGAGACTTTTTTGTTTGTGTTTTGTAAATCAATGCAGTGCTATTGAGTTAAGGAAACCCCTGACTATAACCATTTTACAAATTTATAAATTGTGGAAAGAAGGCCTGAAATTGCTTTTCACTGCACTGAAATTATGTAAATTTGTTATAAAGCATTTAAATTACATTATATGATGAAAACTTTCATTGAATCTTCCCATCTTTTAATCAGATTGCTTAGTAATTTTAGAATAAGTGTATTTTTCACATCTACTTATCATTATATTGCAAATTTTGCTTTTCAGAAATAACATCATTTTTATTCCATCTTAGTTAAATTTTATAAAATTAAATACCATCACTTAAGCTGGTGGGGCCATGTAGAGCTGTACCTGTTTGTTTACTTTTGTCAGAAATCTCACAAGATTTCCTTCGGTTAAAGTTCATTAAACTCCTAATGAGGCTCCAAACAAATTATTTATGCACTGCTTAGGTGAGTAAATAAAGAATATAAACAAAGGAAAGCTAAGTGGGCCCCCACAGACTAGAGAAAACTGCAATAATTTCAGAGAGCAAAGAATGTTTTCCCAAGGTTTATCACGGGTCTAACCCAGTCTGATCCCCCATCCCACCTTCCATTCTGTTGACTCCTGAAAAAATGAGCAGAAGTCAGCAAGTCAGCGGAACAGGAGCAAAACCATGAACAACACTATTCTTTCTGCAAATCAGAATGAAAACCATTAAAATAATTAAAAAGTAGGCCTAGAATATCCAGAAAAAAATAAATTTTAGATTCTAAAAGAATTACAGGTAGCATAAAAGCATAGCCAATATAAAACACAGAATTAAAGTAGTAATGATGATGCTAATCATGTACATACGTTCATTTCCCCCTTATTTCTTATGTAATTTATTCAAAGTAGTATTTTTGATCACTTTCTTCATGTATAATTGCTAAATTCCTGGTTTTCCTGATTTATTGTAACCTGAGCTTACATGCCTACCCTGAACTATTTTCCACGGTCCCACAACATGCACACATGTATGCAGACACACACACATATTAATAGAATCGACTCTGGATAGGCCATCGTCTTCATTTGGCACGACACGCACTTCTCCTCCAGGTCTCTTCCTCTAAGCTGGGAAATCCTGAACTGCATCCTCTAATTTTCCAAGTATAATTTCTCAGAGCCTTCCCTTAAGTCTTTATCCACTATAAAACTCTCTAACTAAGAAGATTTCCTAAGTATTTTCTAAAGTTGTTTTGTCAGGCTGCTTGATATCTAGTGTCAGGAAGAGGTGATCCAGAAGGTGAAATTAGGTGATTGGTCACAGGAACATTGATGAAGCCAGGCCAAGAAGTCAGAAAACCAAAATGGATTAGACACATGAGTGTCTAAACTAACAAGAGGCATTCTTGAAAAAAATGCACACAGAAATTCTACAAAATGTGGCTGCATTGCTTGTTGGTTTTACTTGCTGTTGTTTTCCATTTTCATGTTCAGATGCTTTACACCGCTAGAATATGCTAAAAGCTGTAAAAACTCATCATATATTCCAGTCTTTACTAATCTCTGTTTTGCCTTAACACTCTTAGAAATTATTGCATGGTGAGAATAGAAAAGTGTAAATGCCCTAGATAATAATTAGTGCTGAAAATATTACGTATTTGTACTGAGTCCTCAAGATTGTATACAGCAGGAATTTTTGACTTCCTTTTTTTTGACCCTTTTGGAAGTCTGGTGAACTCATTTTTCAAAATAATGTTCTTACATGCATAAAATGTATACATGGAATTATAAATAATCCAACGACACTGAAATATAATTATCAAAATATTCTTTAAAAACCTAATTTGTGATATTTCAGTATGTATTATTACATATTAAAATATTGTATAACGGGGTAAAATAATGTTATCTCATTAACATTTTGAAGTATCTGCAATTCTATAAT
Source organism: Homo sapiens (assembly GCF_000001405.40). Classification (NCBI taxonomy): domain Eukaryota; kingdom Metazoa; phylum Chordata; class Mammalia; order Primates; family Hominidae; genus Homo; species Homo sapiens. Next base: position 52,354,549 of record NC_000002.12, on the reverse strand, counting down.
GTCACATGAAAAATACCTGTGATTGTGACGTCTCGTGGTGTCAAATTTGGAGGTGCTGCAAATACTTCTATGATTAGCCATGCACATTCATAATGAAAGGAAATGGTAAATGTCTATTAGAAGTTAGTGAATATGATTTTGTTTTTCCATTCCAATTTATAGACCCTGTGAACTCTACCCACAGATTTCTTCCTGAGTGTCAGTGGATCCCATATTTAGAACCCCAATCAAGCAAAACCTTTCTTTTTATGTGGAAGGAAATGATGAAGAGGTTACAGGAACTGGCTCAATATCATAAAACTTTGTGAAATTACTGACATCAACAGAAATTGTATCTTCTCCCACCAAGGCCAAAGCTCGTAACATCATCCATGGCTAATTCATGTGCTTTCATTAAAAAATGATCACAAATGTTAGTGTATAATTTGAAAGCATATCTTCATAAATTCTCAGAAAACACTCTGTAAATGAAGGATTTATTACTTTGTGCTCACCTCTGTTTTGTAAATTACTGCTTTACACTAGAATGATCTGTGTATCAGTCTATCTCCCCGTATAGCAGGTGAACTCCTATAGAAAAGCCACTGTGACAAATACGTATTATGACTCCTGGATCCTTGAATTGGGCTTAGTGTGCCTGTTTGAGCTGAGTTTTATTTACCTTACTTTTATTTATTTACTAACCCACATCCTTCATAGTTGGCTTTTTTTTTTTTTTTTTTTTTTACTAGACTGAAAGTTCCTGGTGACAAAAGCAACTGTTACATACTTCTCTACCCCTACAGTGTTTATCACAAAGCTGCATACATTTAATGAAGATTTACATAGAAGAAAGTATTTTTTAGAAGAGAACTTGAAAATTGGTATATTTTGAAGCCTATATTTACAATGAATTTCTCAAACTACCATAGAAAAATAAATTAATACAAAATTTTACAATGAATAACAGCTCTGCATATTTCATGTTCAAAGTGTAATTATGATATAGTATTTTAAAACTCCTGTATGAATTTCTTGGTTTGGAAAAGTCAACACTTTTAATTATTCTGGGTTATAATTATCATAGGTTATATACTGGGTTATTTATATTACATTATATCATAAACTATTATATATAGGTTATTTAGATAAGCTAGATAAAGAGCATTTGCTTGTCTCGCCCTTGGCAGAGTATGCACTACTGTGTTTCAAAAAATGATATTCCAGAAATAAAAGTACATTGCATCTTAGAATATTTGAAAAATCACTTTAATTTGAATTTTCTACCAACCACATTTTTCTCATTTTGTCTATATTTGGATGTTATCTAGTTGCACAGAAGCTTTATTTTCCTAACCATTTTGGGAGAGTTAGCTTCTTCACAAGTGAGATTACCCATTTTGTTGTGATGAGTGGTTTTATTTCTTACTGTCATGCTGTTAGCGAACAGAGTTGACTCACTAATGATACAGCTATTGCTATCTTAGGTCAGGATGAGATCCAAAAATAATGCAGAAAAGTAACACCTGTGTCTTTGTCCGTTTTGTGTTGCTATAACTGAATGCCACAGATTAGGTAATTTATAAAGAAAAGACATTTATTTCTTACAGTTCTAATGACTGGAAAACCAAGGCTGAAGGGCCTGTATCTGATGAGGGCCTTCTTGCTGTGCCATCCCATGGCAGAAGGTGGAAGGGCTAGAGAGAATTTGGGAAAGCAAGAGATAAAGAGGGGTTTTAACTTCCTTTTAACAAGCCTACCCTCAAGATAATTAACCCACTCTAGCAATGACAACATTAATGCATTCCTAAGGGCAAAGCCCTTATGACCTAATCACCCCTTATTGGGATTCTCCTCCCAACGCTGTTGCATTGGGGATTAAGTTTTCCACACATGAACTTTGAGGAACACATTTAAATTATAGCAACCTGATGTTAAGCATTAAAGTATGCACTATTAACATAAGTAACATGTTCCAATCCTATTAGTGACTTTTCTTATTAACAATTTTTGACACTTTCTAAACAAAATTTTTTAAAAATTTAATTTATATTTCAGAAGTGGCAATAGAAGTTTACAAAGGATTAACTAGTCTTTGTGTGTTTTTCTGCCCTGCAGATTTTCCTTTAAAATATACTAATAAACTTCACATCCAATTCCATGGATTTTACTGTACTTCCTAAAATTGTAGAAATTATATTAGATTAAAACAATTATATATATTATTTTAATTTAAACTTAAAATTGGCTAATTTGAGTTATCTTACAAACTTTTAAAACCAAGAGATCGTAAGATATTTAAATGAGTATGTTTGGTGTGGTTTCGAATTGTCTCCATGATTTAATAACTAAAATGACACTGAAGTTTTCACTGTGTTACAGAAACTTTCTGGATGGTGTAGATAAGGAACAACTATTATTCTAGTAATAGTTTCTTTCATTTGTTCTTTCTTTTTCTATCAAACATTCACAGTATAGTAATAATACATTTACAAAATTTTTTTCAAATGTTACCTCTTTGCCTTCTTATGATAATCCTATCCTGTGTGATAGGTATTCTCTATTTTTCTAAAAAAAAAAAATATATATATATATATATATATATTCCTGGCTGGGTGCGATGGCTCACGCCTGTAATCCCAGCACTTTAGGAGGCCGAGGCAGGCAGATCATGAGATCAGGAGTTGGAGACCAGCTGGGCCAACGTGGTGAAACTCCGTCTCTACTAAAAATACAAAAATGTGCCAGGTGTGGTGGCAGAAGCCTGTAATCCCAGCTACTCAGGAGGCTTAGGCAGGAGAATCACTTGAACCCAGGAGGCAGAGGTTGCAGTGAGCCAAGATCACAAAAGAAAAAAAATCCCGGGGACAATCCCCTTTCCTTATCTATTTATCTCTGATTCTTCTACGTTAATAAAAAGCTTAGATACTTAAAACTAAATTATTTGAGTTACAATTGTTATTTTATCTTATAAAAAAACAATTAATCTTTAAGATAATAAATGTTAATATTTATTATAATGGGATAAAAAACATAATTTGTTTAACTTATCAATGCAGAATACATAATTTTCCCCCCAAATCAAATTTAAACAAACAAACAAAAAACATATTACTCGTAAGAAATTCCATACTTTGGCAACAGTCTCATTATAACTCACTTCCTGATTTCTTTGATTACTTATTCGAGATGGCAGAGTGACACCATCATGTTATTATGATGCCACGTGTGTTGTAGGGAGAAGTGACACTGGAATAATTCAGTAAGCAACAGTAGTAGTTTACCTGAATAACCTCCCTATATGCAGACTAGGGAGAAATATACAATCAGGTCATAATTTCAGTACATAATATCACAAATTCATAAATGTCAGAATCACTCCTTTCCCTTTTCCTTTTCCTTTGCAATATTTCCCCAATTCTTTTCAGAGGAAAATATCTAAAAGGAACATGTTTTACCTGTAGAACTTCACACCCAGAACTGGATTGGAATTACTAATTAATGAAAGAAAAATAAAATAGCTAGAAGCAATCTAATTGATTTGTTATATTAGCGTTGTTTTCAAGTTCCTACCACCCCCAGTCCTCGTTTAGAACAAAAATTCATACCTTCTATCACAGTCTCTTTATGCTGCTATAATAAAATACCAGACTGGGTAATTCATAAATAATAGAAATGTACTTCTCACAGTTCTGAAGGCTGGATGTCCAAAATCAAGGGGCAGGCAGGTTTGGTGTCTGGTGAGAGCCTTATCTCTGCTTCCAAGGTGGTGCTTTGAATGCTGTGTCCTCACATGGTGGAAGAGCAAAAGAGAGTGGACCCACTGCCTCAAGTGCTTTTATAAGGACCCTAATTCCTTCCATAAAGGCTTCACCATCCTCATGTAATTACCTCCTAAAGTAGGGTAATTAGCAATCCCAAGGGGTTTAGATGCTACTGTTTAGATGCTGCTATCTAAAGTACTAGAAGAGCACTCTATAAGTGGGGTAAGAGGATTGCTAATCAGTAGGGCACTAAAGGGCTAAATTACTCATTACTAATTTGGTCCTTCTCAGCACTTTCAGTTTCTGCCATATATTTTACCAATTCAAATATAAACTCCAAGTAACCAAGTGTAGTGATCTTCTTTGTTAAGTGATGTATCTTCTGCACCTAGAAAATTGTACAGCATGGTCAATAAATACCTGTTGAATAAGTGGATATTGTAGATGAAATATAATGTTCAAATTAGATGATTACGTTTATCTGATTTAAATTAATGTATCTACCTATGATGGTGATTTTTAGTCTGACAGTGGCATCACTGTTTAGATGGTACTACCTAAAGTACTAGTAGAGCACTCTCTAAGTGGGGTAAGGGGATTGCTAATCAGTGGGGTACTAAAGGGCTAAATTGCTAATTTAGTCCTTTAGAGCACTTTTAGAGTGTTCTAAGTGAGGTAAGGGGATTTCTATTTAGTAGGGTACAATTTTAAATTAGTTCTTTAGGGATGACTTTATTGTAAAAGTGACATTTGTGCAGAAACTGAATGAGGTGAGTGGATACTAGAGGAACTGTCCTGGCAGAGGGAACAGCAATGTAAGTGTTCTTGAAGCAAGAGCATGGTCAGTGTGTTCACGAATCAGCAGGGAGGACAGTGTGGCTGCAACAGAGTGGGCAAGGTAGAAATAGAAAATGAGCCCAACAGGGAAGGCCAGAAAGTGATCTTCTGGAGTACTATAAAGACTTCCTGAGTGAGGGGGGAAGCCACCAGAAGCTTTTGTGCAGAGAAGTGATGTATTTATTACTGTAGTTGCAATGCTGCGATTTTAGTGGTATGTGTGGAGGAGAGGAAGGAAGAAGGGATGCAAAAGGCAGAAACAGGAAGACCAGGTAAAGGGCTGTTCCAATAATTTACAAGAAATATAGAAGTGGTTTTTGATAAGGTACTGGTGGTTGAAGTGCTGTAAAAATAGTAAGATTTGGGGTAGATTTCGAAGGTGACGCCAACAGAATTTGCCTATGGATTGTATGTAGTGTATTAGAGAAAGACTCCAGAACAATTGAGACCATCCTGGCTAACATGGTGAAACCCCGTCTCTACTAAAAATACAAAAAAATTAGCTGGGCGTGGTGGCACGTGCCTGTAGTTCCAGCTGCTCGGGAGGCTAAGGCAGGAGAATCGCTTGAATCCGGGAGGCGGAAGTTGTAGTGAGTCGAGATCGCGCCACTGCACTCCAGCCTGGGCAACAGAGCAAGACTCCGTCTCAAAAAAAAAAAAAAAAAAAAAAATAGAGTTACTGTTTGCTAGGATCTGGAGGACTGTGGGAGGAGCAAAATTTTGGGAGAAGTGTCAAGAACTTGGTTTAGGACAAGTCAAATCTGAGATGATTATTAGACATCAAATGGAGAGGTCGGTTAGAGAGTTGGATTGACACGTTTGGAATTCATGTGGCAGGTTCAAGTTGGACATTTAAATTTGGAAGACATCTGCATAATGCCATGAGACTAGGTAAGATTATCCTGTAAACAAACAGACAGAGAAGAGAGGAAGGCCATGGACTGAACTTTGAAGAATCCCAGCATTAAAACATTGAAAACATGAGGAGAAGCAAGTAAAGGGAACTAAGAAGGAATGGTCAGTGTAGCAAGGCAGGAACCAAGACTGTCATGCCCTGGAAGCCAAGAGAAGATATTTCACAGAGAGTGAACACTGTTTCTGTTAAGACAAGTCACAGGACTAATTTACCAAGTTATATAATTACAGGTATAACCTACATGGAGATGAGTGTTTGACGGAATGTTAGGTATGAGGTATCTGGAAGAGAAAATTTGGAGATAAAAATATAGATAACTATATAAAGAAATTTTATTCTTAAGGGAAGCAGGAAATGGGATGTAGCTAAGAAAGGGTATGTAGTTAAGATAATTTATTCAGAGATACTATAGCACATGAGTGTGTTCATGAGAGTATTCGATAAAGTCAATAACAATCATGATGCAGAATAGAGACAAGGAATGTCTGAATGATGTTCCTGAGTAGACAAGAAGGAGAAGGATCTAGTGATCAGGTAGAGGGGCTGACCTTAGATAAGGACACAGATAGTTCATATACAACATGCAATGTGTATACTGGTGAATAATGCTTATTTAAAACCAATGTTAGGAACACTTAAGCTTTCATATTTCAAAGAAAATGTTCTCATAAAAACTGTACAGGAAATGGGTGTTTTTATATTCTCTAATTTATAGATGAGAAAAAGTAAAGTTAAACTGTATTTAGAAACCCACCTAGTATCATAAAATATTCTGCAAAGTTTTAATTAAGACCTGGATCTTCCTGGAAATTTTAATTAGAAATTGACTAATTGTCAACCCTTAATCCAAATAATTTAGATTCATTATTTCTTGTGGAAATAATGTTCCCAAATTTACCTGTATATCAAAATCACTTCTGGGATCTCATTTTGCTTTGATTGGAGACAGAATCTCTGGTCTTAACCTTTGAACATTCTCATTTAGTAAATCTTGGGAGGGAATAGTTGCTTTAAAATAAGGCATCAGTTGTTTTCAAAGTGCTTTCACATTTGAGTACCACTGTAGTGTCAGACACATAAGCTATACGAAATGATTTTCTGTATATAGGAATCCTCTGCAAGCCATATATATTTTTCATCATGAAGAAAAATATGAACTCGTGAGAAGTTCAGTGTGGAATTTTTATGATAAATCACCTTCAGTGAATTATCTTTCATGATTAATAATGTTAGATGTATGAATTTTCTTTTTATGAAGATTGGGGGCATTAATTTAGTGTTGAATACAGAATAGTAAGACCTCATTTGAGTGTTGGTTTCAATTCCTTATAGTGGGCCCTAAGTTGGTAAGGGAGCATACCAGGGACTGAATCAGGGGCTTTAAGGAAGGCTAGTCCTAATTTTAATCATAATTATCTTGTTTTAACTTATTTTGTTAAAGTCCTGTTTGATATTTCATTTCAAAGAATATTTGTATTTTATTTAAACATACAAAAAACTGAATTAGAGAGATGATATCCATCCAAGACTCAGGTCCCCAAACAGTAAAGTGCTCAGTCAGCTTTCTGACATCACTGTGGTCTCCATGCAAGAACATTGTTGTCAAACATCACTGATCAAAAGATGTTTACCAACTAGTCTCATATTCAGTGATATGAGACTATTCACTCTCGACAAATAGTACCATTTTTATGAAGACTTCAATAAAATAAATCTATTTGACACTTTGCCCTAGGGTAACTGGAGGGACTGCCGTCTACAAAGATTAAATTAAGCACAAGTAAACCTTATTACTAATGAGCTTTACTGCTAAATTTCACAATCTCCTTTTATAAACTGGGCTCGATATGAACAACTTGAAGTACTATTTGCACAGAGTAAGTAGATCTAATGCTTACAACAAAATTAAACTTATTTGGTCCTTCCCCTACTAAAACCATGCTCTTATCCCACCTTTTTTTTTTTTTTTTTTTTTTTGAGACGGAGTCTCGCTCTGTCGCCCAGGCTGGAGTGCAGTGGCGGGATCTCGGCTCACTGCAAGCTCTGCCTCCCGGGTTCACGCCATTCTCCTGCCTCAGCCTCCCAAGTAGCTGGGACTACAGGCGCCCGCCACTACGCCCGGCTAATTTTTTGTATTTTTAGTAGAGACGGGGTTTCACCGTTTTAGCCGGGATGGTCTCGATCTCCTGACCTCGTGATCCGCCCGCCTCGGCCTCCCAAAGTGCTGGGATTACAGGCGTGAGCCACCGCGCCCGGCCTATCCCACCTTTTTAAATATTACAACTCTGATTAATAATTTACTGAAATATTTAATTAAAAAATATACAGAAGTGTTTTGTGTTAGTCTGAGTTTTCTGATAAGCACACCAAAAGGGGTTTAAATATTCAAAAATTTATTATTTAAAAAAACTGTGGGAGAAAACGGGGAGGGAGCCAGGAGAGTCTGAGCCATCAGCCCATGATACAAGCCTGACCCAGAGTGAAGGAGAAAGGGAAGGCAGGAAAAAAGTTTGGATGGAAGCATCTTAGACTACACTTGCCATTTTAAGGAAAATTTAGCAAGCCAAAGTCATCCATTAGAAGAGGCTAGCTTCTCCAGCACTAGACTTCCTTAGTATCTCTACCATGTTTTGTCATTGACTGAGAGCTGCCATAGGAAATGAGTCCTCTGCACAAACACAGCAGTGGGTTTTAGGGGTTACAGCTGGGACTCTTGGTCAATTACACTTCCTGCAGTTGGAGATTTGAGAGGCATATTCTCATGATCACCACACATGTACACTTGTACTCCCATGTCTGAGTTTGTGTTATTTATTCATCTATTATTGATGTCAGATTAAATTTTGCCTCCAATAACTGTAGAGGCTGGAGATTACTCTGAATTCAACTATAAAACTGGACAAGAGAACCTAATACTCCTGTTTTTTCATGCTACTCACTTAAATACATTTGAGTGTCTAGTTTTTCTATTTCTTCCTACTCTTCCTAGGGTCATACCCATATGGGAAATAGAATGTACTTCTGTTTCGATATAAAAGGAAGGCACTTTTCCCAAAAGGCACCATTAAGAAAGACTGAGAAGGTGCTAGCCCCGAGGCTGTGTGAACTGAGCTGCTCTTCACAGAGCACCGATTCCTCTCATTCCTCAGCCTTGGCAGCTAATGGAATATGCTCCTCCAAGGGGGAAGATTTATTCACAAAATGACTCTATAGAAAAATGTGCAAGGAGTAAAGCAGATCTGCTGTTAGGTTGGTGAAATTTTTCATGCTCTGTTTGTGAAGTGATTGGTGTTTTCTCCCAGTTATCTTTATGCTTTGGCTTCAATTTGAGATTACCAGGTGTCTGCCTTCGTATAGAAGAAATTTGAGGCTATTTAAAAGAGATGAGAAAATGTTCCTGTAGTTACATTCCTTCTCTCCAACCACAAACCTGGGCTGGTTCTGGAGACGCAAGGGGGAACGTGACAGGACTTTAAGTGTCAGGTTGCTCATGTAGAGATTTAGTATTTAGGCATTGTTATTCGGAAGTAGGAAGTATAATGAGGTCAGGAATGCTGCAATTATTGTTTTAGTCTCAGTTTCACTCTGACTTTGAGAATATCTTTTAGGCATTTTGAATAGGAGATTTCTTATCTGAGCTGGCTGACCTAGCTGATCAATGTGATTAAGATACCTCCAGGAAGTTTACAACATGGCAGCCCTGCATCATGGTTACTTCTCCCATCATTCAAAATCAAGTACTTTAATCAGCAGTACAGATGATGTAAGAGTGGAATTTCTGTGAGTGTTCAGCTGAGTACATTTGTGTGTGTGTGTGTGTGTGTGTGTATGTGTGCATCTGTGCATGTGCCTGTACATACATATATATGATCATGGGATTCTTTTATTAATGAGTCAATAACCTCAAATTGTAGCAGGTGGATTTTTTTGAAATAGTTTGTGGTAATGAAAATGAAGAAAACTTTAGAGTCCAGAAAGATCTTAGCCCAGACTTTTAAAAAAATATGTTTTGTCCAAGTGAACCGAAATCAACTGTGATGCTTTTTAAAATATAGATTCACAGGCCTCACCATAGACCTTCTAATTAAGACTCCTTTGGTATGGGACCAAGGAATCTTAATTTTTAACGAAGTCTCTGAATGCTTCTTTTATGCATGAGTGTTTGAGAATTATTGATCTAATCAAGTAGTGCATTTTATAGATAAAAGCTGAGATTGAGAGGTGACAATATAAATGTATTGAGTAGAATTGATCAAACTGATTCAGATAACTAGTATTTGAATTCCAATTGAAATAATTATATCATTAACTCATTCATGTATTAATTCCTCTAATAAACATGAATGGGATGCTTATTTAGGTACTATGCTAAGTGTTTTATATGGACTGTCTAATACTTAAACTATCTCTGTGATATAATAGCTCAGAAGTTACAATTATTTTTCTTTCCCACATAAGGAAATTGAGGCTAAATTTTTCAAATAATTTGCCTATGTTCTGGCCCCTAGTATGCTGTTTTTTGTTTTGTTTTTTTTCAAAACAGTATCTTGTTCCTTCACCCAGGCTGGTGTGCAGTGGCACAATCATAGCTCACTGCAGCCTCAAACTGTTGAGCCCAAGTGATTCTTCAGCCTCAGCCTCGGGACGTCTTGAGGCTGTGTCACAGGCGCATTTTTAACCTTGGCAAAATAAACTTTCTAAATTGATTGAGACCTGTCTTAAATATGTGGTTCACTACATATATATATATCTTTAACAAAACAGGTAATTGAAACTCAGAAATTTTAAGGAATAGAACCAAGGTCACAAAAAAACAGGCATCTTGACTTCTAGCTGTCAACAGGTAATTTAATATATTTTTAGACCTGAATACTATGACTAGCTACTTGAAACTGATACAGGTTTGAGAGTAAGGCTCTAGACCTTTTGAAAGAGTGTCAACTCAGCCTTTCAGCTTCTGACTGAGACTGAATATACTGAAGGTATTACTGACAGTGTCCCATTGTGCTGGAGGGTCCCTCTCACCTGTCAGCTGAGTTATGCTTGGCTATGTGTTTCAATCAAGCAGTGAAATGGAGAGAAAACCGATGTGGTTATTTCCCCATATTTCAGGTTGCTGCCTTGAATACTGTCAGCTGGGACCTTACATTATGCTAATGTTATTGCAGCATTGTGTTTGCATTCCAACAGGGATTGCTTTTGTTCTCACAAAATGCACCTCACCAAAATGTGGAAGTATCCAGTTTACAAATTCACTGCTACTCCTGGCTTCCTCAGGGACCATTTCAAAGTATTAGACGATGGTAAGCAAATTAGTTATTTGATTCCAATGAACTGAGGTCAATATAACATCTGTTTTCCTCAACTTTGCTATCACCTTTATTTCCGAGGTATTTGCCTGTGCCTTAATTCATTTTGTCATCTAAGAGCATTTTCTTTGACCTAGAGCTACTTGTCTCCTGTCAATTTTCTTTCAAGTTGTTTGCTTGCCACAGCCTGGTTAGAAAACTATAACTGACTGAGTAGCCAACAAAAATTCCTCAAGTTCTGCTGTTTTCAAACTATGCAAATGTCATTTATTTCCAAAAAAAAATTGAGCAGTGACATTTGACACAGTGAACATAAATATGTTTGTCGTCAGTCTGGAAAAAGGAGGGCAAAAGTTCTTGGTCACCCACTCCCAGATCAAGTAATCCTGAAGTAATGCATTTATTAGTCAAGGTATTTTGTAAAGAATGTATTAAACAAATGTTGTGAAACTTATTTTACTTATTTTTGAGATCTATGTTCTTCAATAATTGGGAAAGTTAAAATAATCTTTTAAGTTACGCAATTACCATCACTCCCCCAAAGTCATCAGCAAAGTTTTTGGCCAAACTGGCTGCTCATGTTAGCTCAAACAAAAAGTAGATAAGACTGTATTGAATTGGGTTGTTCTTGTCATATGTTAGAAGCAGTCTCAATCCAAAGGATAAGTACAACTGCAGTCCTGAAGGAGAACTAAAGTCAGAATTAAAGGAAATATCAAATGTCAAGTTCAAGAGGTGAAAAAAAATAAAAGCTACAGTGTCAGGAGCAACGGTAAGGAAAAGACTTGGAAATGCAATGAATTTTTCCACCAATCCTTTGATCTTCTCTTTCTAATATACCCTTGCCATGTTCCATGGGACATATCATAATCTGTCAGGTCTACCCCATGCTATGCCTCAAATTCCATTGTTTTCCTGCAGCCGACTTACAATGCCTGTGAGTCTAAGCCATAAGAGATTATCGCAAGAGTCCCTAACTTATTTTCAGCTTCTGTGTTGAATTATCTCAATCCACAGTCTATGTAGCACATAAACTCAATAGTTTGTTTAGAAAGCGAATGAGATCATCTTGCTGTTCTGCTTGAAACTTTTTAGTAGTTGTTTATTTATCTTATGATTTGTAAGATCCAGCATGATTCTAGTTTTACTTGGCTTCCTCTCTTCATGTTATACCTTCAAGACCCACTCTCTCACTTCATTGCAATTGAGCCACACTTGGCTTCTTTCTCTTCCTCAGATGCATCAAGCCCCTTCGCAAATGCTGTCTTTCCCCTTGTTCATTACTTTGTGGGTTTTTTTCCCTCTAGCTCTTCAGATGGCTAACATCAGTGCCTTTCTTCAGGTCTACAATCAAATGTCAGCTACACAAAGAGCCCTCTCTGACCAGCCTATCATAGTAAGCTACTACCACTGACATTTTATTTTCTGTCATGTCATTTATATTACTTCCTTATATTATTTATCTTAATCTGCAGTATGATAGGTTATGTGAATTGATTCACTCAACCTCCACTCTACCCTCCCTCTAAACTGCCTTTCTATACCACAGACACTGGTGAGCTAAAAAATCTACACTTACCAGACTTCTTTGCACTAGAATTCTCAATCAAAATTAAGTTTTAAGTAACTTTTGAAAAACACAAGTGAAGTACAGGCTATTGCCTTGCTTACGCTGACAAACAAGGTTGTTGAGATAAGAAGACCAAGACGCTATTTTGTGTTTCAGTGTATTCTCTCTAGTTTCATGGATGCTAGAGGCAACTGTGGCTCAACACTAGCTCTTTGAATGTGGTTACACAACACTGGAGGGACTTTGAACATATGAGCTCCAGTGGCAGGGCTCTGACTTTCACTTGTTCAGCCTTTTGAACCATTTTGTCTGTATTTCTCTATTAACTTTCGTTTCAAACTCTTCTGTTTAAAGTATCTAGAGTGTTTTTGTTAACTGCACTAAACACTGCCCAATTAATGTATGGATCTTATTTATTTATATGTTTATGATTTGTTTTTGTTTGTACCCACTTGATTGCAAGCTTAAAGGGGAGAGAGAAATGCCTTATTCAGTACCATACAGTAGTTCAACACTAAAATATTTCTTGGCACAAAATTTGAACAAATGAAGATTGACAGAACAGTTCATACAAATGCACTAAGCTTAATTCATTCAGGAAATAGGCCAAAGGAATCTGGACCATAACATTCTCGGTTCTGATCTTGATTTATTTTGGACTTACATGACTTTAAGGAATGGAACTGTTTCAGAAACTAAGAGTATGATGCCCATGTTTTTGCTTTTCAGAATATATAAATGTTAACAGTGTCTATTGAATGGGTTTTCATGTAGATGTCAATGCATCCCAGTGAAAAAATAAGAGAACTAGATCAGGAGCTTTCATCCATAGCAAGGGCTTTCAATAAAGTTATTGCTTTTCTGACAATCTGCATATTCATCCTGGTGAATAAAATCCTATTTTTATAACTTGTGTTTTGCATGAGAAATCTGGAAATAGCATACGTTTCTGGTTATGCTGCAAGCTTCTAAGTTACTCCACCTGAGGCATATAGCCTTCCTTCACTTCTACATCTCCATTTCTCCTCTCTGCTCTTCCCTTCTCTCTCATCTCCTCTCCTTTCTTTTTAAAATATGGATTAATATCACACAACGGGCTAAATAATGCAGATTACAATATCCAATATCGTCATTCACAGAAATGAGTCAGCATCTTTCACTAAGCAACTTTCTACCAGGAGGGAGTTTCAAATATTTTGAAATACTTCACTTCTTCAGATGAAAAGGGGCACTGAATCAAAATGGAATTGCTGTTCATGTTGATCTGCTCTCTCTCACCTGCAATACTTAATCAGATTACTGAGGTCCTCTTTACTTCTTTTCTTCTTCTGATAGTTTAAAATTGATATAGTGGCCCATCACTAGTACATTGATTCTAAGGGTTAGGGAGCTGCTACTGTTGATGAATGCACTATGAATGATCTGACATATTTTCAATTCATTTTTTTCCTTTTTTTTTTAAGTAACAAATAACTTTCTAGTATCTATAAAGATAATTTTTTAACTGGCTCTTCTAAAATAAATAAATAAATATATATATATATATGTACGTATGTATGTATGTATGTACATACACACACACACAAGCCAGTAATGTTGGGCTGTCCCAAAAGCTGCATGAAAGGGAAAAACAGACCACGTTTTTTGTTGTTGTTTTGTTTTTCCCAAGGCAGTTTTGAGAGCTCTGAAGCAAAAAACAGTTTTAGCCAATGAAAACTGATTCTGTCAAGTGCAGCAGCCAAATGTGGCCTCACTGCAACAGAGGAGGGAGCTGGAAGCCAGAGGATTGATGTTGCCTGCTTCCAGGGGCTTTTATGAGCTCACTCAATGCCCATGTGATAAGCAGCATTTAGTGTGCAAAGAGCTAAAGAGACAAACCAGTATGCATGTTGATGAGCAAAACCACTCACCATTCACCAACCACAGCCTGCTCTTTCCCATCCTCTTTTATTTGGGAAGAAGAGAGAACATAAAAACATGTGTTCAGGAGTTCTCCTTCTATTTATGTTGGAAGAAATAGAGAAAGGAAACGGTGACTAGGGGATTGAAATAAACCAACAAACCAAGAAGAGCAAAAGGAGAGCAGAGGAGAAAGGGGCAGAACCTAAGGCAGTACATTTCTCAAACACTGACAACATTTTCACCTTATGTTCTTTGTTCAAAAAAAGCAAAATGAGATACTGATTTGGCATTGTAGGCATGGAGAGAGAAGTAGAAGAAACAAGTGAGTTCTGCTGGTACATCTAATTCCTTACACACAGCAGCATGAAGAATGATTTTATCAGTTCTGCTCATTTTCCTTTTTCCTTCCTTCCTTTCTCTCTTCCTCCTTTCTTTCCTTCTTTATTCTGTTTTAATTACTGACTTCTATTATAGTATCCTTTCCATTATTTTATCTGATATTATTAATAGTAGTTGGTATTTCTTTATGGAATTTATGTATCCTTAAGCATTAACTGTAATGATATTTTTTCTTTACCAAGATGTTAATTTACTTACTTAAGTTTTGAAAAGATATTCGGAGTTCAACAAAGCATATGGTAAATTTCAAACATATGGAACAAAGATTGTGGCAGTGAAAAAGAGATTACTGGCTTGTGTGTGTGTGTGTGTGTGTGTGTATGTACGTATATACATATATATACATATATATGTGTGTATATATATATATTTATTTATTTATTTTAGAAGAGCCAGTTAAAAAATTATAGATACTAGAAAGTTATTTGTTACTTAAAAAATAAAGGAAAAATGAATTGAAAATTTAGCATTATGTAAAAGTCACAATTGACATTGATACAATGAGTTTTCAAGACACTTTTAAAAATCGGTAGTGAATTGTAGTAAGAAATTACAAAGTTACATTTTCTGTTGTCACAAACTCAGAGGTAATTTGCCTGGAACCAAGATCAAAGAGCCAATTCTTAATTATCTGAAGTAAAATCCATTCCATGTCTGATATTTCTGAAGCACAAAAAGGAAGACAGGAATTAATACAATTTTAATGCAGCGAACATTGCTAAATATCCATGACTGTTCTGACTACTGACACCTTTGGTAGAATTGAAGCTGTGAAAGAAAAATAAATCTGAAGTCCCCAGAATCACTAAGCTAAAAGTGAAGCTGGCAGCTGCTTAGGTCAAACCTGCCTCCCATTCTATTAAAAGTCACCCCTCTGCTCACTGAGATAAATGCATATCTGATTGCCTCCTTTGGAGAGGCTAATCAGAAACTCAAAAGAATGCAACTGTTTGTCTCTTACCTACCTATGACCTGGAAACCCCCTCCCTGCTTCCAGTTGTCCCACCCTTGCTTCGAGTTGTCCAGTCTTTCCAGACAGAACCAATGTTCATCTTACATATGTTGATCAATGTCTCAAGTCTCCCCAAAATGTATAAAACCAAACTGTGCTCTGACCACCTTGGGCACATGTCATCGAGACCTCCTGAGGCTGTGTTGTAGGTGCCCATCTCAACCATGGCAAACTGAACTTTCTAAATTAACTGAGACCTGTCTCAGTTAAAGTGCATTACCAAGATGTTAATTTACTTACATAAGTTCTGAAAAGATATTCAGAGTTCAACAAAGCATATGGTAAATTTCAAACATATGGAACAAAGGTTGTGGCAGTGACAAAGAGTGCCTGGTATCACGCTTCTGGGGATCTTTATGTTTTTAGAAAATAAATTACTAGGAAACACTGGCTATTCTGAAAAAAAAAAAAAAAAAAAAAAAAAGGTGGTTAAATGGTTTATTAAAGCAATGATCTTGATACCTCAGGTCACACAATATTTTCACTTAAAATATACAAATAATTAAGCAAAATATGTTTTGCTGTAGACAGAAATTGATCCAAGAATGTGAATTAATACTCAGTTATTCAATCTATATGTCATAACACTGCTATAATAGCAAGAAAAATCACAACACTTTTTAAAATTCATAAAAATGGATTAATGTATCAGAAGGAAATGCTAAAAGGGATCATGAAAATCATAAAATTCAGCCCTTGATTTTGGTAGGGAAGAAAATTAAGCCTAGAGAATAAAGTGCATTACCAAGATGTCAGTTTACTTACATAACTTCTGAAAATAATTATTTTCAAAATTCGGGCTTTCACTCGTGTCCGTGTGAAGAGACCACCAAACAGGCTTTGTGTGAGCACTAAAGCTTTTTAATCACTTGGGTTCAGGCGGGCTGAGTCAGAAAAAAGAGTCAGCGAAGGGAGATAGAGGTGGGGCTGTTTTATAAGATTTGGGTGGGTAGTGGAAAATTACAGTCAAAGGGGGTTGTTCTCTGGCGGGCAGGGGCGGGGGTCACAAGGTGCTCAGTGGGGGAGCTTTTGAGCCAGGATGAGCCAGGAGAAGGAATTTCACAAGGTAATGTCATCAGTTAAGGCAGGAACAGGCCATTTTCACTTCTTTTGTGATTCTTAAGTTACTTCAGGCCGTCTGGATGTATACGTGCAGGTCACAGGGGATATGATGGCTTAGCTTGGGCTCAGAGGCCTGACACGGGCTAGAAACCAATTCTTTTTTTTTTTTTTTTTCTATTTTTTCCAACATTGGATACCAAACATGAGGCAGAATAATTCTGGAGAGTCATAGATTTGTTGCAAGTTGCCTGTTAATCTAAATGTACAACAAACCTTATTGAGGTTTGAATAATAAACTTTATTTAAATACATATTTTTAATAAATGTGGATATTGGTATGACTGCCTAATGGGTTCAGCTTGCCTACTGCCTAGACAGAGCCAATTTAGACAGAGAAATTGCAATAAAGAGTAATTCATTCAGAGCATTCTGTGAGGGAGACTGGAGTTTTATTATTACTCAAATCAGTCTCCCTGAAAACTGGGGAATCCAAATTTTTCAAGATAATTTGGTGGGTAGAGGCTCAGGAAGTGGGGAGTGCTGATTGGTCGGGTTGGAGATGAAATCATAGTGGGTTGAAGTAAGTTCTTGCTGTCTTCTGTTCCTGGATGGAATCACAGATTTGGTTGACTCAGATTACTGGTCTGGGCAGTGTCAGCTGGTGCATTGGAACGCAGGGTTTGTACAATATCTCAAGCACTGATCTTAGGTTTTATGACAGTGATATTATTCCCAGGAGCAATTTGGGGAAATTCAGACTCTTGCTCCATGGCCCCTAAATTGTAATTTCTAATCTTGTAGCTAATTTGTTGGTCCTACAAAGGCAGACTGGTCCCCAGGCACAAAAGGTTTTTTTTGTTTGTTTGTTTTGTTTTTTTCTGGGGAAGAGCTATTATTATTTTTGTTTCAAAGTTAAACTGTAAACTAAATTGCTTCCCAAGGTTAATTGAGAATGAACTAGGACAGCTTAGAGGTTAGAAGCAAGATGGGGTTGGTTGGTTCTGCTCTCTCTCCCTTTCCCCATCATAATTTCCTCAGTTATAATTTTTCGAAGGTGGTTTCATTGCTATAATTCCTATTAAATAATTTACCACTATTGATTTAACAGTAGTTTTTTAAATACTTTTTTAAGTCCATGAAAAAAGCAATGAATTTCCCAGTTTGAATGATTATTATCATTTGTATGTTTCCCAATATTTTTCATGTTTAAAGGGATCCTCTTATTAGAATATACTGAGAAATATTATTCCACTGCATTAATGAGTTATCCTGAACATGTCAGGATTTAATGTTAAAATTTATCATTTAATTTTTGGGCAAAAAATGTTGACGGAAACCTGGGTTCTGAGCTGAATTATAATTTAAAACCATCTGGAAAATTTCCTTATTATCAACTCAATTCCTACTTTTCAAGCATTGCCATTCCTGAATTAATATTATTCAGTACTCACATACATTTACTTTAGAAAGGGAGAAATGTGACAAAACAATTATATTCAGTCAAAGCTCAAATAACCTTATACTTCAATTTGTAATTTTTATTTTTTTCCAAATCAACTTTTATGTGAGGATATTCTGGAATATAACTATGCTAGAATTGGCCATTTCTATTACATAATGAAATTCAGAATGACTTGGGAAGTAGTTTTAAACATTCAGTTTTGCACAATATTATTGTATCCTGACTTCAGGATTCTCCTTAAAAGCAGCCAAATAGAATTTAGCTCCTGGACCTGGGGAGTTAGTAAGCCTTCGAAGGCAAGGACACCTGGTGGGGTGGGACTGTATTTGTCTACCTTTCACCAAGGCACCCAAGTCACTTCAAAGTGACTCATCAAAAGCCAAGTTTGGCAAGAGTGGAGGTTTTCAAAGAACTTCAATCACCTAAATTAACCAAACCACAGGGATTCAAAATAAAACAATTAGCAGACTTAAGTAACACAGGATGGTGGAATGGAGTCATTATTTTGGATTTCACAATATAATTGTTTTTCCCCTCCATTGGTTGAGAGTGAAATGCTGCTTCTAACAAGTTACATGTAAAAACAGCCAGTGGAATTTAACACTTTTTAAAGGTCTGCCAGCAATTGCTTGTATAATCTTGGCATCTCTGATTGTGTTGAAATATATTAATTATCTAAATATGCATTTTCATTTAAATGTTAACTCCAAGAGTGTTCCTGATGTGACAATAGAGGGACGATTTAAAATAAAACTCTTGGGTAAGCCTTAGGTGAAATGGGGTTCAGGACATGCTACTCCAAAATATAGCATCTTGGCATTTGAAGAAGGAGCAGAAGCAGGAAGGAACTGAAGCAGGAAGTTCACTCTCACCTTTCCCTCACCCTTTTCCCTTGAAGGAGGCTATAAGAGAATTTGCTGGCCTCTCTCTAAGGTAGGTCATAGAACCTTCATTCCAGATGTGTCCACCCTATACCTAGAGGAAAAGAATACCATACAGGAACACGGAGAAGAATCTGCACTAATAGACCTTGCTAAGTTAACCTAGTTTATTACCATAGCCTTCGTCCTCTAATTATACACTTGCATGACTGTTATCAGAAAAGGATCTCCATCCAGACCGCAAGAGAGGATTATTGGACCTTGTACAGGAAATAATTCAGGTGTAGTCCACAGAGTAAAGTGCAAGGATGTTTATTAAGAAACAAAAGTACCGAAAGAATGGCTACTCCATAGGCAGAGCAGCGGTGTGGGCTGCTCGACTGAGTATACTTACAGTTATTTCTTGATTATATGCTAAGCAAGGGGTTGTTTATGAGTTTTCCAGGAAAGGGGTAGGCAATTCCCAGAACTGAGGGTTCCTCCCCTTTTTAGACCATATAGAAGTGGTCCCCAACCTTTTTGGCACCAGGGACCAATTTCTTTTAGAGGGTGGCAGTGTACGGTGTGGTTTTGAGATGAAACTGTTCCACCTCAGATCATCAGGCATTAATTAGAATCTCATAAGGAGTGTGCAACCTAGATCCCTCGCATGTGCAGTTCACAATAGGGTTTGCACTTCTATGAGAATCTAATGCCACCGCTGATCTGACTAGAGGCAGAGCTCAGGTGGTAATTCTCACTCGCCTGCTACTCATCTGTGGCTGTGCTGCGTGATTCCTAATAGTCCATGGATGGGTACTGGTCCACAGCCCGCAGGTTGGGGACCCCTGCCATATAGGGTAACTTCCTGATGTTGCCATGGCATTTGTAAACGGTCATGGCGCTGGTGGAAATGTCTTTTAGCATGCCAGTGCATTATAATTAGCATATAATGGGCAGTGATGAATACCAAAGGTCCCTTTGATCACCATCTTGGTTCTGATGAGTTTTAGCTGGCTTCTTTACTACATCCTGTTTTATCAGCGAGGTCTTTATGACTGTGTATCTTGTGCCAACTTCCTATTTCATCCTGTGACTAAAAATGCCTAACTTCCTGGGAATTCAAGCCCAGCAGGTCTCAGCCTAATTTTGCCCAGCTGCTATTCAAGGTAGTCACTCTTGTTCGAATGCCTCTGATATGCTTTACCACAAAAATATAGTTTCTCTTATTTCTTTGGATCTTCTTTTAGGAAGGCTTCTATGTCATGAAAACTTGTATTTGATAAATGTGCATTTTCTCTTAATTTGTCTTCTGTTATAGGGGCCTCAGCAATGAACCTTGCAATGGGTGAGAAAGTTTTTCTCCCCTATAGGTATACTTTGCTAAAAGTAACCTTGTGTTTGACATTGAGTGGGAGGAAATGGGGATGAGAAGGTTGTCATTAATAATCTAGAGCGAAATCTAGTGTATATTACATGTCTATATTAAACTTAGACACTGAGTTTTGAATAGATTGTAAAAATAACATACAAGGTATACTTAATGAGATATATAAACAGAGCGAGCCTTGGGGTTAAATCTCAGCTGGGTTATCTACTAACCATGTGATCTGGAACAAAGTTTGTTTTGTTTTGTTTTAAATTTGATGATCTGTTCATTTTTATCTTTAATACAGAGCTATAAATGTCTTACAACATCACTGGAAGTATAAAGTAAAATATATTTAAAAATAGCACAAAGTAGATATTACGTTAGAATAGAGCTGTTTATTTCTCTTTGTTCCTTTTCTAACATGATCTAATGTAAAAGAGTACCTATCAAGTTTTTCCCTATAAAATGATTTAAAAATTAGCAGAAAGATCATACAATGTTCGATCTGGGAGGGGCATTAAAAACATTTATTTGTTCCCTATTTTTCAAGAAAAAAATGTTGAGTCCTAGAGTGGTTAAGTGACGTATTTATTGTGGGCTTAAAACAAATTTCCTATAGGGCCGGGCATTCATTTTAGTGCAAGCCATAGCAGTGACAAAGAGATTTAAATGCTGTCCTTCAAATTTTTCAAATCTTATTAACCATAAATATCAATTCAAATGGGAAGTTCTTGCTCCTTAAAAGATTATTTTAGAAAACCATCAAACTCTGGCAAAAAAAAAAAAAAAAAGATTAGATTGCAAAATAAATTATGTCACCAACTTTTCTCTGTTATAAATTCTGCACAGTATTTTAAAATATGTTCTCTTGATAATTGCATTTATCTCAAAGTGTTTATGTTGACCTGCATAACCTCTTTGGTTTGTTTTAAGTTTGGCTACTTAATATTTCTTTCTGCTGTTGAAATTTTTTTGATAAGATAACATAGCTAATTTTAAATAATTCTTTAAAACTGAGAAACAAGGCCGAGCGCAGTGGCTCACGTCTGTAATCCCAGCACTCTGGGAGGCCGAGCAGGGAGGATCACCTGAGATCAGGAGTTTGAGACCAGCCTGGCCAACATGGTGAAACCCTGTCTCCACTAAAAATACAAAAATTAGCTGGGCGTGGTGGCAGGCAGCTGTAGTCCCAGCTACTCTGGAGGCTGAGGCAGGAGAATAGCTTGAACCCGGGAGGTGGAGGTTGCAGTGAGCCGAGATCACACCACTGCACTCCAGCCTGGGCAATGAGAGCAAAACTCCATCTCAAAAAATAAAAAGAGAAACAAAATTAATCATTTGTTAAATCCTCAGGTGAAGGTGGATTTTTAATGGTGAAGAAATATATTATTTTAGCCCAAATAAAGGAACTAGGATACTGTATATCAAATAATTCATATAATATTCTTTTCTATGAGGAAAGCATAAAATAAACAATAGACTTTAAATATACTTGCCACTGCTGCCTTTCCAGTCTATAGAAAAATTTTACAAATAGCAAAAACCTCTTGCTTTCTATTGGTAATAGATTCTATTGGTAATAGATTCAATAATGCTCACTGAATTATCTAAAATTGATAACATCTAATCAAATGGATTTTACAGCAACAATAATAGGAGCTAGGAAATTGAATTTATAGAGAAACTCACTACGGTATATAGCATAAACAGTTTATGGAGAGAGCTGGGCATAAATAGCTAACCACAATTCAACATGACAATTGCTATTAAGGACCTAAAACATAAAATAGGAAGAATAGAGAAAGAGACATCAAGTAACTGCCTTACAAAAACAGAAAAAGACTATGAAAGAAGAGGCATTTCAGCTTGATTTTGAAAGATGAATATAATATTCAAATGGAATTAAATGTTTAGAGATTTGCATTTTTTATAGGAAATAAATGAGGCCATTTGAGATAACCCTCTTTCAAAATTTTATAATACGATTTTATACATTAGAGAGAAAGACTTAAGTGGTCAGGTGGTTTGAGCTAATTTGGCTGTGTTTTAAGAAACTTTCACCTGAAAGTTGGAAGATTTCAAGAGGGAAAATGACAATAATTTTAAGTTAAGTGTTTTGTTACTTTAGTTTTTTTCTTAAGTTTATCCCCAAATTAGACATAATTTAGGCTGGGATTACAGTTCAATTCAATTAATATTTATTGGCTTTATTTATAACACTGAGCCATAAGATAGCAATCTCATGCTATTAATTTTACAAACTAGAAGGAAGAAAGCAAGCATGCAATGTGACCTGAACACATACGTTTTATCTCTTTGACATGGTTGTACACTTCTTGAGGACCAAATGTCAATCAATATCTGCTTCACAAATGTATTTTCAATTACTCTTGGTATGGTATCTTACACAGAGTGATCAATAATTAAGTTCAACACAAGAGTGCAGTTATGAATCAGAGGAGAACAAATCACAACTGGCTAGCAGAATTAGAGAAAGCTTCAGGTAGGAGGGGATCTTTTAGATGAACCTCAAAGATCAAGAGGTCCAAGAAAATATACAAATGGTCACTAAGTACTTCAGATGATGCTCAACAACATCAGCCATTAAAGAAGTGGAAATCAAAACTACAAACTTCATACCCACGAGGATGGCTATAGTAAAATAGATATATAATAGCAAGTTTTGACAATGATGTGAATAATTGGACTCCTATGCAGTACTGACAGGAATGCAAAATTAAATGCAAATGAATTCTCTTTTGGAAAGCAATCTTGAAGTTCTTCAAAACATAGATTCACCATAACCTAGCAATTCCACCCCCAGGTAACAGAGACAAAAACATACGTCCACAAAAAGACGTACAAAAATGTTCGTAACAGCATGTTCATAGCAGGCAAAAAGTAGAAACAGCTCAAATGTCCATCAGCTGATGAATGAGTAAATACAATGTTGCCTGTACATACAATAAAATTTTACTCAGCAATAAAAAGGAATGAAATACCAATATATGCTAGAACATGGATGAAACTTGAAGGCATTCTAAGTGAAAGAAATTGGTCATAAAACATGGCATACTTTGGGAGGCTGAGGCGGGTAGATCACGAGGTCAAGAGATTGAGACCATCCTGGCCAACATTGTGAAACCCCATCTCTACTAAAAATACAAAAATTAGCTGCCATGGTGGCACGTGCCTGTAGTCCCAGCTACTTGGGAGGCCGAGGCAGGAGAATCCCTTGAACCTCAGAGGTGGAGATTGCAGTGAGCTGAGATCACGCCACTGCACTCCAGCCTGGTGACAGAGCAAGACTCTGTCTCAAAAAAAAAAAAAAAAAAGATGGCATGTTATATACCCTATTTATATTAAATATCCAGAATAGGCAAATCTATAGAGGAAAAAAATAGTAGTTTAGGGCTAGGATGGGGGAGGATAGCTGGGGGAAATTGAGATTAACTGCTAATGGATATGGGTTTCTTTTTTATTTTTAATTGACATAATTATTGTACATATTTATGGGATACAATGTGATGTTTTGATACATGTGTACTTTTTGCAGTAATCAGGGTAATTAGCATATTCAACTTCTCAAATATTTATTATTTCTTTAGGGTAGGAACACGCAAAATCCTCTCTTTTAGCTATTTTGAGATATATAATAACTTATTGCCGACTAGAGTAACCCTACTGTGCAATATAGGACATCAGAACTTATTCTTTCTTTCTAATTATAACTTTGTACCCATTGACCATCCTCTCCACTATTTCCTCCTCCCTCCTACCTACCAGTCTCTGCTAACCAGTGTTCTCTACTTCTATGAGATCAACTTTTTTAGATGCTGCATATGAGTGAGAATGTGGTATTTGTTTTTCTGGTTCTAACTTATTTTACTTACCATAATGTCTTCCAGATTCATTCATGTAAAATAAGATTTTGTTCTGTTTTTTTAAATGAACAAATAGTATTCCATTGAGCATATATACCACAGTTTTCTTAATCTATTCATCTGTTGTTGAACACTAAGGTTGATTCCTTATCTTGGCAATTGTGAATAGTGCTGCCAACATGGAAGTGCAGATATCGCTTTAATTTCCTTTCCTTCATATATATTCCCAGTAGTGGGATTGGTGGGTCACATGGCAGTCATATTTGTAATAATTTGAGGAATCTCTATAGTATTTGCCATAATTGCTGTATTAACTTAACATTTCAATGAATAATGTGTAAGGGTTCCCTTTTCTTCATATCCTCACCAAGACTTGTTATCTTTTGTCTTTTTGATAATAGGCATTCTAACTTGGGGTGAGGTGATAATCTCATTGTGATTTTGATTTGCATTTTCCTGATAATTAGTGATAGCATTTTTTCGTATACCTGTCGGTCTTTTGTATATCTTCTTTGGAAAAATGTCTGCTAAGGTGTTCTGTACAGTTTTTAAATCAGGATACTATTATTACTATTATTATTTGCTTTCGAATTGTTCGAATTTCTTATATATTCTGGATAGTAACCTTTGCCAGATATAAAGGTTGGAAATATTTTCTCTCATTCTTTAGGTTGTCTCTTCATTCTGTTTATTGTTTCCTTTTCTGTGCAGAAGGTTTTTTAAGTTTAGTGTAATCCCATTTATCTATTTTTGCTTTTGTTCATTATGCTTTTGAGCTCTTATCCAAAAAATATTTGCGTAGTCCAACGTCATGAATCATTTCCCCTATATGTTTTTTTCTAGTAGTTTAATAGTTTCAGGTCTTGCATTTAAATCTTCAATCCATTTACAGTTGATTTTTAAATATGGTAAAATATAAGGGTCTGGTTTTATTTTTCTGCATATGGTTATCCAATTTTTCTAGTACCATTTATTAAAATGATTATTCTTTTTCCATAATCCGATTTTCTTGGCACCTTTATTGAAAGTCAGTTAGCTGGAGATTTGTGGATTTATTTCTAGGCTCTATCTGTTCCACTGGTATGTGTATCTGTGTTCTTGTAGTAATACTATACTGTTTTGGTTACTCTAGCTTTGAAGCATATTTTGAAATCAGCCAGTGTGATGCCTCCAGCTTTGTTGTTGTTGTTGTTGTTTTGTTTGTTGTTGGGTTTTTTGTTCTGTTTTTTTGTTTGGTTTGGTTTGTTTATTTTCTGCTCAAGATTTCTTTGGCTATTCAGGGTCTTTTGTCATTCTACATGAATTTGAGGATTTTTTTTTTTATTTCTATGGAGAACATCATTGGTATTTTGTTAGAGATTCCATTGAATGTATACTTTGCATGGACATTTTGTTTGTTTGTTTGTTTTTTGAGATGGAGTCTAGCTGTGTCACCCAGGCTGTAGTGCAGTGGTACGATCTCGGCTCACTGCAACCTCTGCCTCCCGGTTGAAATGATTCTCCTGCCTCAGCCTCCTGAGTGGCTGGGACTACAGGCACGTGCAACCACACCCAGCTAATTTTTACATTTTTAGTAGAGAAGGGGTTTCATCATATTGGCCAGGCTGGTCTCAAACTCCTGACCTCGTGATCTGCCCACCTCAGCCTCCCAAAGTGCTGGGATTACAGGCATAAGCCACTGCGCCCAGCCAGCATGGACATTTTAACAATATTAATTACAATCCCTGAACAGGGGATATCTTTCCATTTATTTTCATACTCTTCAATTTTTTTAAACAATATTTTATCATTCTCAGTGAAGAGAGCTTCACCACCTTGGTTCAATTTATTTCTAGGTAACTTATTTTTTAATAGCTTCTCTTAATGGGAAAGTTTTCTTGATTTCTCTTTCAGATAGTTCATTACTAGCATATAGAAATGCTAATACATATAGCATATATTAGCATATAGAAATGCTAATACATATAGCATATATTAGTATATAGAAATGCTACTGATTTTTATGTTGTGTATCCTGTAACTTTATTAAATTTGTTATTTCAAAAGATCTTTGAATTCAGAATTTTATTTATTTATTTATTTATTTTAAGATAGGGTCTTACTCTGTTGCCCAGGCTGAAGTGCAGGGATGTGATCATGGCTCACTGCAGCCTCAACCTCCTGGGCTCAAGCAATTTTCCCACCTCAGCCTTCTGCGTAGCTGGAATCGCAGGTGCATGCCACCACTCAAGGCTATGTTTATTTATTTATTTTTTGTAGAGATGGGGGTCTTCCTATGTTGCCCAGGCTGGTCTTGAGCTCCTGGCCTAAAGCTAGCCTCCCCCATTGGCCTCCCAAAGTGCTGGGATAATAGGCATGAGCCATCATACCCAGACTCAGAAATTCTTTTTTCTTCTTGATCTAGTCTGTTGTTGAAGGTCTCAATTGTGCTTTTTGTTTCATTTATTGAGTTCTTCAGCTCCAAGATTATTTTTCTTATATTTATCTCTGTGTTGAATTTCTCTATTCAGATAGTAAATTGTTTTGCTGATTTTATTGAATTATTTATAATCCTTATTTTTCACTGAGTTTTCTTAAGATTATTATTTTTAGTTCTTTTTCAGACATTATATATATTTTTTTCCTTTGGGATCTGTTACTGGAGAAATATTGTATTCCTTTAAAGGTGTCATGTTTCCTTGCTTTTTCATGTTCCTTGTGTCCGTATGTTGATATCTGAACATCTGGTGAAACAGCCTACCTTTTTCAATTTTGTGGAGCAGCTTTTGTAGGCAGAGAATTATTCCTGTAGATGGGTCCTAGGGAGTCAGTTGGATGGTGTGCATTAGTTTTGATTCTGGATAACTGTAGTAGTATAGTTTCCATGCAGTTTATTCTCCTATAATCCATGTCAGAGATGTCTACCAATGCCTTCGCTGCCTAGGCTAAAGGAGATTATGGTGGCAATGGTGGCACAGTTTTGTCAGAGGTGGCTTCACTGAATTTGTTCTCAGGCTGGGGACACGGTGTATCATAGGTTGGCCAGTGAGAAGCCAAAATCACTGGAAATAGGGTCCTTAGTCTCTTTTTCAGGCTGAGGGTGCAGGTGCACAACAAACAGTTCTGCTAACTCTAGGGCAGGGTTCCCAGAGAAAGTTTTGCTGGTTTGTTTCTTCAGCCAAGGATGCAGGAACATGCTGGTTTGGTTAGTTTTGGAGTGTGGCAGCCAGGCTGTTTCTCTGGAGAGGGTGCAGGCCCACAGCAGTTCAGCCAGATTGAGGGTAGGGCTTCCAGGGGGAGGTCACTGAAACTTTTTCTCCTGCTGGGGGCTCTAGTGCATGGCAGTTTGCCTGGCCCACACAAGGTTAGTTTTCACACTATGCAGAACCACCTGTTCCTTGAGGGTCAGGACATCACATGGGCCTGGGCATTGGAGTTACACCTATTTGTGGCTTCACTCTGAGCAGGTAAGATCATTGCATTGCAGCCACCTATGTGAGCATAGTAGAATGATGGCAGAGCCTTAGGACAGGACAGATGCAGAGGCTACTGGCCCCCAGAGCAGGACACACCCCAGCAGTGACTCTGGTTTCAGAATGGCAATATGCTGTAACAGCTTGGGTCATGGGGCCGGAGGCAGTGCACAATGTAATCTCCTCCTCTGGAACAAGGTAGCCACCTGAATTCTAAGCAGCTCCCCAAACTGGGCTCAGGGCCTGTGAGGACTGGTGGATTCTTCTACAGCAAAAACTGCAGGTGTCTGTGGTAGTAATGTGGGGTGTTGGGGGCCTCCTACTTACCTTTTCCTCACAAAGGGAACTCCCTCCTGACTCTGAGCTCATCTGATCCTGGCAGAAGAGATGGGGCAGCAGAGGTAGGGTGCCTTGCTCTTCTCTCTATGCTGCTATCCTCGCTTTCTATGATCCACAGGGACTTCACCACTCCCTTGCTGTACTCCCCCACGCTTCTTCACAGGCTCTTATTGTATTACAGTTGTTTATTTGTTCTTTTGGTCCTTTTTTGTGGGGAAGATGAACACCAGGCAATTCTAGTCAGCCATCTCGCTGCTGTCAATCTGGGTTTCTAATTTTTTTATTTTTTTGAGGTAGTAAAAATGTTTTTTAATGAATTGTGGGGAAAGTTACACAACTCTTTGAATACAGTGAAAATCACTGAATTGTACATGTTACATGACTGAATTATTTGGTATGTGAATTATATCTCAATAAGGGTGTTAAAAAATAAAATTTTAAAAATTCTCCTACTGAAACATGATAGGGGCTTTCCAACATGGAGGATGACATGAGAAATGCAGAACAGAGGTGAAAAAGTCCAGGACCTTTAGTGAAAGAGTCAACAGTTTAATAGTTAGAGTATGAAGTATGTAAAATTCTCAGTGTTTCCCAGGATTCCCTAGCCCTGGTGTACACATATGTGCCCAGTTTTTAATCAAACACTGATCCAGATGTTGCTGCAAAAGGATTTTGCAGATGTAATTAAATCCTGAATAATTGACTTTAGGTTAATCAAAAGGAAGATTATCTGAGGTATACCCAACCTAATCAGGTCAATACTTGAAACAAGTCAGAGAGATTCTAAGCAGCAGAAATTGTTCACTTGCTAGCTTTGAAGAAGCAGACAACCAAGCTATGAACTGCTGTGAAGAGCTGAGAGGGAACTCTGTGAGCCAAGAGCAGTCCTAGACAGGCAGTCAGCAAGTAAATGACAACTTCATTCCTACATTTACAAGGGAATGAATTCTGACAATAACCAGTGAGCTTGGAAGACGACTTCCAACCTTCTATGACATCATGGCCTTGGCTGTCCCCTTGATTTCAGCCTGTGAAAAGCTAATCAGAGAAACCAACAGGCTTGTATCCAGACTTCTGACCCTTGGAAACTTTGAGATAATAAATGTATATTGTTTTAAGCCACTAAGTTTGTGGCAATTTGTTATACAGCAATAGGAAACTAATATAAGTGCTTAGTGAAAAAATGGAAGATGAGTCTAGAAAAATATAAAAAAACTTCACTACTGCCTGGAGCCTTCAATGATTGGTTGTAATTAATTCTTTTCCTTTCAGCCCTGTTAGCATAAAAATGATGAAGGTGTTACCCACATTTATGTGCCTGCCTTTCAAATTTTATTTAGAATATATGCACACATTTTCATCAATGCCAACTTTTTCTTTGACTCAAGCTGTGAAGTTATTTTTGCCATGTTTTCTTATAAGATGTGCATGGTTTTTTTTTACATGTAGATAAAAATATGTTGGACGTTTATGATAATGAACTGAAATATTTTGTTCACCTTTCTGCTTTGGTGAATTTGGGAACATCAATTTTCAGGCACCAACCTTTGATTTTAAAAGATAACTGGTTTATTAATGTCTCTTGTGTCACCTTCCACGAGCAGTGTGTAAAATCCAAGTTATATTTAAAATAAAAATAATGGCTGGGCTCAGTGGCTCACGCCTGTAATCCCAGCACTTTGGGAGCCCGAGGCAGGCGGATCACGAGGTCAAGAGATCGAGACCATCCTGGCCAACATGGTGAAACCCCGTCTTTACCAAAAATACAAAAATTAGCTGGGCATGGTGACGCATGCCTGTAATCCTAGCTACTCGGGAGGCTGGGGCAGGAGAATTGCTTGAACCTGGTAGGCGGAGATTGCAGTGAGCCGAGATTGTGCCATTGCACTCCAGCCTGGGCAACAAGAGCGAAATTCCATCTCAAAAGACATTAATAAATAAATAAATAAATAAATAATAATGTTTATTGCTTTTTCTGAGAATTTTACATGTATCACAGGCAGATTGTAGAAATTTTGGAAATTGCCTGGTACAGTGGCTGACATCTGTAATCCCAGCACTTTGGGAGGCTGCAGTGGGAGGATCACTTGAGGCCTGGAGCTTGAGACCAGCCTTGTCAACATAGTGAGATTAAAAAATTAGCTGGGGCCAGGCACAGTGGCTCAAACCTGTAACCCCACCACTTTGGGAGGCCGAGGTGGGTGGATTGCTTGAGTCCAGGAGTTCAAGACCAGCCTGGGCAACATAGCAAGACCCTGTCTCTATGAAAAAATTTTTTAAAAATTAGCTGGGCATGGTGGTGCGCCTATAGTCCCAGCTACTTAGGAGGCTGAGGCAGGATGATTGTTTGAGCCTGGGAGTTAGAGGCTACAGTGAGCCAAGATCAT
This sequence comes from Homo sapiens, assembly GCF_000001405.40. Classification (NCBI taxonomy): domain Eukaryota; kingdom Metazoa; phylum Chordata; class Mammalia; order Primates; family Hominidae; genus Homo; species Homo sapiens. The sequence goes on along the minus strand of NC_000002.12, from coordinate 52,324,043 downwards.
GCCACTGCACTCCAGCCTGGGTGACAAAGTGAGAACCTCTGTCAAAAAAAAAAATAGCTGGGTGTAATGGTATGCCCCTATAGTCCTAGCTACTTTGAAGGCTGAGGCAAGAGGATCACTTGAGCACCAGAGTTCAAGATTACGTAGAGCTATGATTGTGGGACTGCACTCCAGCCTGGATGACAGAGTGAGAACCTGTTTCAAAAAAAAAAAAAAAATTTGAAAACTTAAGAAAATAGTTATTTGCAACTGGAAAGGGCAATTTATGTGAAAATACAACAAATAACATGGTTCATTATTATATATCTTTAAACTCATATTCATGTGTGTGTATTTTTCCCTATTTAAATATTGCTCTATCTATTTTACATATTATTATTATTTCCTGACAGCGTATTATATAGCAATATATATGTAATAATTACAAATGTTCTGCAAAGTGAGAAAATACAAATCTAAAGAAGATAAGGTTTTTAAACTGCGTGTAATAATATTACCCTAATTATATATGCTTTTATATATAAAAATGAAATATACTTCTCCAACTTGGTATATGTTTGTCCTGTTGCTGCTGCAACAAATTACCACAAATTTGGTGGCTTGAAACATTGCAAATTATTTTCTTACAATTCTAGAGGCCCCAAATCTGAAATGAATCTCCCAAGGCTAAAATCAAGGTATTGGCAGAGCTGCATTATTTCTGGAAGCTTTAGGGGAAAATTTGTTGACTTGCCTTTTCTAGCATATATAAGCTGCCCACATTCACTAGCTTGTGACTCCCTTCCATGTTCAAAGTTAGCAGTGTAGCATGTTCACATCTCTCTTTGACTCTGAAAGTGATCCTCCTGCCTCACTCTTTCATTCACAAGAACACTTGTAATTACATTGAGTTCACTTGACTAATCCAGGATCTTTTCATCTCAAGGTCAGCAGATTAGCAACCTTAATTCTATCTGTGACCTTAATTTTCCCATTGCCATGTAATATGTTCACATGTTCTGGGAATTAGAACACGGATGTTTTTGAGGGGTCATTATTCTGTGTATCACACTTGATATTTGCCTTTCACATAGCACCATGTCTTCCCATACTTGTGTACATTGAGATTTATCACTGTTCTTAATGATTTTGTAGATTCCTTTAGATGAATTAACCAATTTTTATTTTATCAGTCTGTGTTATTTTTTTGCTCTTGCTATATTTATTATTTTCTTTTTATTTTTATAAATTGGTAACAATTGGCATTGTCATTCAATAATTTATTTATACATCTTTTTCATCTTTTTATTCATTCCACATATAATAGTCAAAAAGTAATTTTTTGTACAACAGCTTTGTGATTTCTACATATGAAAAGCCTTAAGTATCAGAATGATCAAAAGTAGTTCTGGAATCAGAATGTTGAGGTTCAAATTCTTGTCTCATTACTTACTGTTTGTTTGACCTTAGACAAGTCACATAATCACTACAAGCCTCATTTGTAATAACATCTATCATTAAGGTGGTTGTGAGAATCAAATGTATTGATTTCTGTAAAGTGCTTGGAGGACAAACTGACCTATAGTACAGAATCATTTATGGCTCTCATTATCATGGGCCAAGTGCTGGGCTAGGTGTTGTGTATGCAATCATAAACAAAACACTCATAATCCCTGCCTTTCTGGAGTGTAAAATCAATTGACCCATGCATCTTTAGCAACAAGTACATGCATATCTAAATGATAAATTCCTGAGCACAGAATTGCTATGTAAAACAACTATATAAATTAAGTGCTATTTGGTAAATATAATAAAGAGAGTAATTATATGGTCTTTCCAGCATAACTCATTTGGTTTTCTTTATCACTTTGTTAGATAGAACATACATAATAATGCTACATAGTCATACATGACTGGCATTCCAGTGGTAATTCTAATTTTAATGAGAATAATTTAATGTGGACTGGGTTTGAAATCAGGTTGGCAGATGATTTGGAAGAAAAAATATATTTTCTCTTATCTTGTAGAAATAAAACTCTTATTTGATAGGATTTTGAATTATTTATATAACTCATTATTCTTCTTTCTTTCTTTTTTTTTTTTTTTTTTTTTTTGAGACAGGGTCTCACTCTCTTGCCCAGGCTGGAGTGCAGTGGTACATTCATGACTCACTGCAACCTTCGCCTCCCCAGCTCAAGCAATCCTTTCACCTCAGCCTCCAGTATAGCTGGTACTACAGGTGTGAGCCACCGCACCTGGTTAATTTTTGTATTTTCTGTAGAGATGGGGTTTCACCATGTTGCCCAGGCTGGTCTTAAACTCCTGCACTCAAGCCACCCCGCTGCCTCAGCCTCCCAAAGTGCTGGGATCACACATATGTCAGCCACCATGCCCAGCCTCATTATTCAAAAATGTATGTTGACTTCTACTGAATTTGTGTTTGTTATCTACTGAGAGGTTGTTATGGACTTTTTCCTTCTCCATGATTTATGAATATATCAAACATTTTCAATATATTTCCTAATTTGTAATTATCCCAGGAAAATTCTGGGATAATAATACCCTCTTCCAAGAGTATTATTTCCAATATGGCTACATTCTTACTTTGTCATAGTCTTAGCTCTGTGATCTAGAAAACAATGCATGAGTCTAAAAGTACTGTTGGTATTATGTTATTGGATAGTGCAATCCCTGGGTGGCAGGGCTCAATGAAAGCATAAAATGAGGCAGGGAAGGAGAGATAATAAATATAAGGGCATATGTTCTTGAACAGTTTTAGCTTAGTACTCAGCAAGACTAATTCTTGGTTTTGGAAGGCATCTTTGGAAACTTTAAGCAATATGGCATCTAAGAAAAAGGAAGGGAGAATGTAGTCTCCCACTTGGCCCATGATAATGATAGCCATAAATTATTCTGTACTGTAGGTCAGTTAATCCTCCAAGCACTTTACAGAAATCAGTACATTTAGTTGTCATAACTACCTTAATGATAGATGTTATTACAAATGAGGCTTATAGTAATTATGTAACTTGTCTAAGTTCAAACAGACAGTAAGTGAGAAGTGTAACCCCCACTCCTCCCTGTCACCCATATCTCATCAGCAAAGTCCACTCCAAAAAACTGTAAGTCATGTGTACTTTCATGTTGAGGTAACTGTCGTCTCCAGGTAGTCACTGAGTAATGCAGTCTGTGTGACAGTGTTCTGAATGCACCGATGCAGAATTTACCCTCCTTACTGGGTAGCATCACACAACCTGTGAGACTCCTTCACCTATCATGATGGCATTAGAAACTAAAGAGTCATCTGCATTTAAGATACAAGCATCTGAGAGAGAGAGAGAGAGACTGTGTGTGTGTGTGTGTGTGTGTGTGTGTGTGTGTGTGTGTGTGTGTGTGTTGGTTTTTGGGGGAGAGCAGAGGGGAAAAGTGATTGAATGATTTTACTAAAGATCATCCAGTACAATCATGTGGTGTCAGTCCTTAAATGTATGTTCGACCGTCTTTAAAATTTTGCCTTAGTATATTTTCCAAATTCTTCATATTTATCTATTTATTTTAATTGTTATTGAAAAATATTTTAGACACTGTACATTTATTTTGTATGGTTTGTATTCACCCAATGTGTGTGTTTTAAAAAGTTTATGATATTTTAAAATTCATTCACTGAGATATCTGAAATTCTGAAGTGCTGGTTTTTTAGGCTGTGTGATTTTTCATAATTCTTTGGACATTTAAAAGAAAATGTAGGCAATACTTGCTAAGTTAGTACATGCTAAATTTAATATGTGAAATAAAAGCACTTCTTAAAATCACTGAAAAGTTTATGCTCAAAATTGTATTGTTTTACTCTGTATTCTAATATTTTATTTTTTTATCGTTGTATATTATCACCAAACTAGTTGTGTCCAAAGAATGTAAAGGTGGTTTAATGTAACTTTCCACATTTAACAAATTAGATAATAAAGTCATATAATTATTTCAATTGATGCAGGAAGATTATTTTATAAAATTTGACACTATTTATGATTTTTTAAAAAAGATTCTGAGTCAACTAGGAATAGAAGAAAACTTGGTTAACTGCTTAAGGATATCTATAAAATATATTCATAATAAGGAAAATTTGGAAATGTTTCCTTTTAAGTAAGGAATTAGCAATAAGCCTAGTATATCATTGCTAATGTAGGGTATGGGCACAAAAGTAGCATCATGCAGTATAACCATAAAGTAGGGTTTTCTGAAGGAAAGTCACAAACAGTGGGGTGGGCTAGACAGAATGATAAACTATCCTATGCTTACTTTGAAGAGAGCAGTGCCAGGCAGGGTGTATTTATACGATAAACTTAATTTAAGTACTGTTGATGATCTTTGACTATGAGCTAATTTTCCCTTGATCTTCATGTCTATAAGGCTAGATATGAGGTAGATGACTCAACTTGGGGATATTGTCTGTAGAGAGAGTGTACATTGGCTTCTGCTAGATATCAGATATTTATTTTACTTTTTATTATATTTTGTTATTTTGTTTTTATTTTCCCCTGGGTTTGGACCACTCCCTTAGAAGAACTCAGTTAAAATGAAAGAGTATCAGTTTAATCCTCCTCCACTTTGCTACTAGGTCCATTAGTAAGTACCTCTATTGACAGTCTATGCAGTTTTTATATAATATTTTTGAATATTTTCCTTAATTCCTGGAAACCCACCAATGCATTTTACCATGAGAAGTTTACTCAGGGTACTTGGCCTTTTTGTTTCTTTATCACCATCTTATTAAGGGAAATTTCAAATATGTGTATACAAGAAAACAGAGTAATATAGTAAACACTATGCAACTGTCTTCCAGCTTCTGAAATTATCTTTAACTCAGTACCGATCTTGTTTTACTTATATATGACCCACCTTCCCTACTTTGAATTATTCTGAAGTAATCCCAGATATCTTATTGGCTGCATAGGTATCGGTTGGGGGTTTTCAGCCTATGTTCTAGTACAACATACACAATAGATAATTTTCCCATGTGTAATACAATCTACCTAGGTGACTCACTTATAGACTCTTACCTAATTATTTTTAAATGAATAGATGTATACACACAAATATAGACAATTCTCAGATGATGAACCAAAATCTCCCTTCATTTCTCACAATCAGGAAACATATTAAAATGCAGTTGAATGAGAGCAGTGTTATAGAATAACTTTTAGTCAGAACCAGTAAGTATATTGTTCTTTTATACATAATATTGCATGAAATAAACTGTGATGGATGTATTTAATAGGCTGCATTAAAATAGTAAAGCAGAGTTGGGTGTGTTAGCTCACTCCTGTAATCCCTGCACTTTGGGAAGCTGTGGTGGGAGGATCACTTAAACCTAGCAGTTTGAGACCGGCTTGGGCAACAGAGGGAGACCCCATGTATCCAGAAAAAAAAATTATATATAAATATATATAAGTTATCCAGGCATGGTGGCATGTTTCTTTGTAACCCCACCTTCTTGGGAAGCTGAGGCAGGAAGATCACATGAACCGAGGAGTTGGAGGTTGCAGTGAGCTGTGATTGTATCACTGCACTCCAGTCTGGGTGACAGAGTGAGACCCTGACTCAAAACAAAAACAAAAACAAAAACACAAAACAGTAAAGCAGTAATATCAGAAAGCAGCTTCTTATTCTACTTTTGGTCCTCAAACCTGTTCTTTTGTATTTCTTTTTGCAACCCAATGGAAATATCTCTGGCGAATTTCATAGTTTTCCAATCATTTGAGACTGTAACAGACCTATTTTATTTTTAGGTATTTAACATACCAGCATAATAATTATTGTTTGCCCACTTACTTTAGAATCTTAGAGAGGGTTCTTGTAGTATTTGTCCTTTTCTTTCTCTCTCCCTGCTCAACTTCCTCTCCTCACTTACTCCTCTGACTTTTCCTCCCCACTCAGGACACTAGGCTGTGGCAAGGAGAAAGGATGAGACTTAGCTAGTAATATTAACACTTGTCACTTGGTGAAATGTTCTGCTTCATGAGAAGCATTCCAATGCTGGCTCATTTAGGGAAATATTATTGTTTTGTTTTTCTGAGATTTCTGAGATTACCTCCACACCACACAGTAAAATTATTTGATGTAGATTAAAAAATAAGGTGGAATTGCACTTGATTCTGTAGCTATTCCCTCTCCACCTTGCCCTGCTATTGCCCTTCTACCTAGATTGTCTCCTGCCTCAAGACGTTTTTAGTTGAGAGCATAGGGACGTTTAAATTTTTCCCCTGAAGATTGGATAATTTGAGTCTATAAAACAAATTAATAGCCAGATTAACAGGAAAAAAGGCATACAAATTTTATTAACATCCATACAGGGATGGGAGTCATACAAATATGAAAAACTCTATGCAATGGCCAGATGGTTGATACCCTTCCCTCCCTCCGTCCCTTCCTTCCTTCCCTCCCTCCTTTTCTTTCTTTTCTTTCAGGGTCTCTCACTCTGTGGCCCAGGCTGGAGTGCAGATCATGGCTTACTGCGGCCTCCACCTCTCAGGTTCAAGTGATCCTCCCACCTCTGCCTCCTGAGTACACGGGACTATAGGCAACCACCACCACACCCAGCCAATTTTTAAATTTTTTGTAGAGACGGGGTCTTACTATGTTGCCCAGGCTGTTTCATAACATTTTGAAGTTACAGAAAGAATAAGGGCTTGAGGCATGGCCAAGTAAGTTGTGGTGGCAAGACAGGTTATGGGAGGGAGAACGGAGAAAGGATTGGCTGGCAAAAGTGGTCTTGTTAGGTAGATGAAATCACACAGTAGCAGCTCTCAGAAAGACTAGATGGGTGTCAGACTCTCAGTTAATCTTTCCTAGATCCAGACAAGAAGGAGCTTCAGAGACAGACTATTTACATCTCTTGTTTACTTCACTTTATTTCCTCTATAGGTACAAATCTCCCTCACGAAAGACAGCTTTGCAGGGCTACTTCTGTCTGCAAGACCTCTGAACATCCATCTCAAAATATGTCAAAGCAGTATATTTTGGGGTGAAATTTTTTAGTTTCCTTCAAGAGGCAGCCATCAGCCTCAATCTTTCTAAACTCTAGAGAATTGCTGTCAAGCTTTTCAAAGGATTATATCACACACTACTTGGGTATCAGCACAGGCTGGTCTAGAATTTCTGCAGGTCATTGAATGCAGCTGGTGAATAGGAGGGAGGTTCCCCAATTATGCCCAGGAGATCTCTTAGGGACCCTTCTTATTTGGCATAGGTGAGAGTGTCCCCTCCTCCCTTACTCAATAGGGATGGGAGAGAAAATATCACAGTTCTCTCCATGCTTCCATATTTCTTCCAAAAACATCTACCCTCTCTAATAAATTTTTACCTGTTTTTTAAATAAGCTAGAAGAGAGTGAAAAGCATAGTTCAGCTTTGCCATCTAGTAGTATCAAACAATTTTCTTTAGAATATGGAGTTTCATATCCATCATTGTTATTAACTTTAGGTGCAGAGACAATAGGAATCTCTTATACTTTATGTTGTAATTATTACATATTATTTGCAACATTCCTCACAAATCATATGATGTGACTATGTGACAGAGCTTCTGGACTATCCTTTATTTCTTTACTATATAAAGATTCAGATCATTTCCTTGGCAAGAGGACAATTAATATCAGCAGTTAGATCATCTCATGTAATCTTCAAAATTATATTATGAGGTAGATATAACAGTTATTATATTTATCCCACTTTAATAGCGTTAACTGAGAGTAGATAAATTGCTTACAGTTGTACAGCTATCCAGTGGCCGAGCTAAGATGCAGACCCAAGACCATTTGAATGTTGGATCCGTCCTCTGAAAAATAAATGATAGTATTCTGTGAATGGCTTTTGGCTATATAATATTTCTTAGATCAGGTTCTCATGTGTTTGTTGTGCTTTAGGAGTTATTAATCTGATTGATCATCTATTCACTCTCTTGTAGGAATACAAGAATTGTTCAATATCCTGGATTTTGAAACTGAAAAAAAATTATACTGTATTTCTTCTCTCAAGTGCAGGCTAATAGATTTTACAATAGTCTAAGAGGTTCATGTGATTAATCATTTCTATATTTTTCATTTCTAGCAGTAATATTTTCTCTAAGTTTGTACTCTTATTCCAGGAGAGTAGAAGGGTTGGAATCTCTCTCATGATTCTTATTATATCTTCAACAATAAACATTTATGTGGCAATTCTTATATGCAAGATACTATACTAATCAGAATGCAAATAAATTCATGACATGATTTCTGACTTCATGGAGTTCACAGATCTAGTTAAAAGTGACATGAAACCTATATAGAGAAAAGTTAAAAGAATAATATAACACACAGTAAATTTCTACAAAAAAAAAAGGCAATAAATGCTTTAAGAGGTTAAGAGTTGAATCAGTCTGATCAGGAAAAACTTCCTATATCAGGACTTTTATGATTGATCATTACATAAATAAATAATGGTTGTGAGAGGAGAAAACCATTCTAGACAAAGGAAACAATGAGGTACTAAGTGGAGAGTCAGGCTTGTACAAATAATCTTTGAAGAAATTATTATTGCGTACTCCCTATTCTAAAGTAGTGGGGATAAATCTAGATAATTAAGATCTAGTTCTTAAAGGTTGTAACATCTTAAAATGTGGAATAACTCAAGATCTGTAGAATAAGAAGGATAGATTTAAGAATATTGAGCTAGTAGAGAATTGGGAGGAAAGAAACTAAAGAAGAAAAACAATAGAAAGCTATCTATGGTAAAGAAAATGGTTCCAACAATCTAAACGTCCTGTTTATGTCTTTGATAAGCTTATCCTTATTTTCACTTATGTTATTATACTTTTTTACCTCCCAAGGAAAAACATACTGGTGGACAAGAGCATACCCATGAGAGCCAGAGGGTCTGATTTGAACCTCTGTGCGTTAGTTGTCTGTAGTAGATAGAGTTTAACTAAAACATGATGATGGAGGAAAAAATAGTCGATTAAAAGGTATTCTCTCTGAAAGGTTTGTGGACAAATAGGTTCTTAAACTCATCTACTTGTCAACAAAATATGAATAATACGAATATTTCAGACAACTGGAAAACCCTAAGCAACAAAAAGGCACACAGAGCAATCAGCAAGAAAATTAAATACACCAGCTCAAGGCCATGATTTCCAATTTTCTAGTTTAAATTTGATTTAAATATTTCTAACACTCTCAATTAGACAGTTCATCTAAAAGCTGTTGCAGTCCTTTAAGAAATGACAAATATTAGGCCAGATGCGGTGGCTCACGCCTGTAATCCCAGCACTTTGGGAGGCCGAGGTGGGCGGATCACGAGGTCAGGAGTTCTAGACTTGCCTGGCCAACATGGTGAAACCCTGTCTCTACTACAAATATAAAAATTACCCAAGCATGGTGGCAGGCACCTATAATCCTAGCTAATAGGGAGGCTGAGGCAGGAGAATTACTTGAACCCAAGAGGCGGAGGTTGCAGTCAGCCGATATTCTGCCACTACACTCCAGCCTGGGTGACAGAGCAAGACTCTGTCTCGGGGAAAAAAAAAAAAAAAGAAAGAAATGACAAATATTTCCTCATGACAAAAAACACTGATAAAATATTGTTATTTCTGTTACTCATCTCCCCATGACTTGCTAGGCCTCAGTGAGGTAGTTCTAGCTGATTTGCAGAATGAGAGAGAATCCTTTATTTTAATGACATTGAGGTTCAGGAATATTTGTTGTGACAGTTTACCCTAACATAGCTACCCAGCAGCAACATTATATATTAATTTAATGTTTTTTCTTTCCCTCCATCTCACTTTTCCCATATGGCAAGTCATGAGAAGATGCTCCTCTCCTCCCAACTACGTGACTGCAGTTGCCATGCTCACCTCCCCCAGAAACTGGAGATGGTCTAGTCAGTGAGCAAAAGTTCCAAAGTGCTTGGAGAAAAAAGATGAAAAACAATTATATTTGAAAAGAATCTGTACTTTAGTAATATCCCCAGTGTGTCTTGTGCGCATTAAAATGTGAAATGCACTGCTTTAGACCTGCACAGTGCAACGTGGCAGCCAATAGTCATAGGTGGTTTCAAGAATGTAAAATGTTGCTCTCAGAATTGAGATGTGCTATTAAGGGTAAAATATACACCAGATTTCAAAGACTTAGAATGAAAAAAAATATATATATGTAATGTCTCATTAAGATTTTTCTTTTGATCAAATGATATTTTGTATATGTTGAGTTAATAAAATATGTTATTAAAATTAATTTCATCTCTTCCTTCTTAGTTAATGTGGTGACCATAACACTTACAATAACATACGTAGTTCCCATGATGTTTATATTGGACAATATTTTTCTAGACCATCAAATGCCCTGGAGATAAACCTTAAAGAACTTATATTTTCCTTTGAGTTTGCATGTGATTGGATCATGTTTTGTTAGGAGCAAAATATAATTCACATGGTCTTTGACTTTCACTTATCAGATTCTGTACACCTAACATTGTGGTATATCATACATTTTTTATACCTTATTTTATTTCAAACGTTTGATAAGCATCTATTATGATCTGGGAACTGTGAAAACTATCAGGTAGACAGTGAAGAAAATAATAAGGTCCCTTTCTTGAAGTAATTTGTAGTCTACTACATTAAGACAACTTAGTAAAGTATAGTAAAGTGTAATGAGGGCATGCGAAGTATAGCATGGTAAGAGGAAAAATAGGGCTGGGGAATGGAAATAGCTGACAGTCACATTTCTCCGGATTACGAAAGTATTGTAGGCAGGCTAACAGCAAAGAAGATCGTTGCTTAAAATGAACTTTCAAGTGTGCAGGTGAAGATATTCTCTCTGTACCCGGTGAAATCTTTTTTTTTTTTTGAGACGGAGTCTCGCTCTGTCGCCCAGGCTGGAGTGCAGTGGCGCGATCTCGGCTCACTGCAAGCTCCGCCTCCCAGGTTCACGCCATTCTCCTGCTTCAGCCTCCAGAGTAGCTGGCACTACAGGCGCCCGCCACCACGCCCGGCTAATTTTTTGTATTTTTAGTAGAGACGGGGTTTCACCGTGTTAGCCAGGATGGTCTCGATCTCCTGACCTCGTGATCCACCCGCCTCAGCCTCCCAAAGTGCTGGGATTACAGGCGTGAGCCACGGCGCCTGGCCAAATCTTAATATTAAGGTATCTCCTGTTCTCTATTCTTATAGAAACACTAGCCTTACCACTTACCAGATAGCTTCTGAATTGGATCATTTTTTAAAATAAAAACAAAACAGAATTGTATTTTGAGTTTTACTACATGGACCTTGGTGCATTTTTTTGAATGGCATGTTCTCTCAGGAAACAGAGGTCCTTTATTCAGCTGCATTGGAAGTGTGGTGCCTTCAGTCATTCACTGATTGCTGTTCTGCTCATTAGTGGCTCCAGTGTTCTGCGCTGACTAAACTCACAGTGTGAATTATTTTTTGGTGCCTTAGGCAGGAGCATTTAAGGACTGAGGGGAATGTGTATTTCCTACATATGTTTTTATAGTTTCTATAGTATAGTTTTACGTATATAGGGTAAAGCTCAATGTTAGATAAAAAGCTGATGTATTTCCTTTGTGATTAGACATACATATTAGACTTTAGTGAGGATAACTACATTTTCTTTGATTTAGAACATATTTCCCAAAGACACTTAAGCTCTTAAGATAAAAAAAAAAAATACACATTATTATATTTTTCTTTGAACAGATCGTTTGTGACTTTCATCATCAGGCAGGTGACAGTATACCCCTTTTTACACCTAGGTTGAGAGCACCTACATTTGTGGGGAAACTTTAAGCTTGAAAATGACAGGTTTATGCAACATATATGAAGGAAATACGAATATTTCATTTTAAAATACACTTCTTTGGCATGTTTTGAGATGGCTGTTCAGAGAGCCAGTAAGTAAACAGCAGTAGCCCTCCAAAGCTGTCTTTTGTGGGAGAGATTTGCATCTGTAAAGAATCTGCATTGAGGCCAGCAGGCCTTTCTTTGTCTAGATCTAGGAAAGATTTACTGAGCGTCTGGTACGTTTAAAGATCTGAAAGAAACGTTTACTATTTGTTTTCTTTGAAGGCTGCTATCTGTGAAGTTTCATGTATACATCAAGAGCACCTTTGCTACGTAAGCCTCCTCTTTCCCCACTTCCCATAACCTGTCTTGCCACTATCACCTGATTTATCTCCATAACCTGTTTGTGGCCCTGCTGTGATGTCCCCATTTTTTCTGTAATCTCAAGGTGTTATATAAATTTCTGTACCCCTTTGAGAGGTGAGGGTAATCACTGTGGTTCACAGAGCTGATTTTTCAGTGAACCTTCAGAAGGCAAAGAAAGTTTTTCTTTGGCTTCTACATATGCATTAAACATTTTTTAAAATTTGGTCTCCTAAATTTGTTGGTAGATTCTTGGAAAATAGCTTTTATGTAAGTTTTCTCTTACTGGACAATAAATTGCCAAGCATTCATTAGCAAATAGT